>NC_000023.11:90644360-90947390 GCF_000001405.40 Homo sapiens
AGCATAGATTATCTATCTTTTCTTGTGTAGTTTAAACCTCACTCTAAGCATTTGCTGATAGAACAGTTTTGCTTTTCCATGCTGAAGCAATTGAAGAGCGGCCTGGGTTTACCCTGTCAGAATGTCTCACCTATAAACATTTGTACTAAAGTCACAGCAACATTTGAAAGATGCTACAAAATAACCCAGCTCATAATGTGGACTTCCAAGATTTTCTGCAAAAATGAGTCAGCCCTTAGTAACTCTTGTCTATGTGTTTAAATATCATTTATGTAATGTGATTAATTAAAAGAGCTTATTCTTATCATCTGCTTGTATTTTACATTGAACATTTTATAAATGTGTACTAGATGATAAAATAAACTGGTTTTACCTTAAAAAGAAAAGAAAAATAGATTCTTTCATCCCTTCCAGAAATTAAATTAGCATGAGAACTACACAAGGTGAACACATTCAGATTCAAATCCCTTTACGAAAGAGACCTCTTAATGATACACAAATCAATGAAAAGATATACGTATATCTACAATTAAAATTGCCTACTATTAAAAATAAATGGCTACACAACTTAATTTTTTAACTTGCAGACTGTATACAATGATATATAGCTATTTGAAATTGATATTAGAATTCTTAAGTGCAGTATTTATTGTATGTTAGGGCCAAATATTCCTGTGGAAAAGTACAGGTGTGAAATTGTAACTGAGAAAATGTGACTTTGTATATCGTTATGAATTCACATTATGCACACATTTTAGAAGCATATTTTATGTATAAGATCAAACTGTGTTATTCTTTCTTTTCTTTAGTTAGAGATGTCTATTGAAAGATAGAACTAGAAGGGATCTTGAAAGGTCATTAATCCATTCACTGCACTTAAACAAGACTAAACCTAAAAAAGGCTCAGAGAGACTATCTTTGGCAGTGGGAAAACTTTTCATGTCTAATTCCTTTTATGAAGACAATCTAGTAGAAACAATAAAAAAGAAAAGCTTCCAATATGGCATTTTGCTTTTCTAAGATGATTTCCCATTCTGTTATTAAAAAAAGAACTGAATTTATATTTTTCTCTTTTTGTCTTGTCTCTCTTTGCAGGTGCACACTACGTGTATATGAATCATGATACAGTTCACAGCAACTGTAGCAATGCCACTGTGTTTCTGTTAATTAACTCAATATAACTATTGTGCATAAAAAGTGTACATTTAATAAGGAAATCAAGATTTAAAACAATTTCACAAAAGATTTTATTATAACCATACACAAAACACTTTTCAAATCACCAACCATTTGTTATTATTTCTTACAAATTCAGACATACAGGATTACGTTCTTGAAACTGCATAATTATATTAAATATAAGAATGTCTCTAAATTTCATGGCTTTTATCTACCATAATGGGTTATCATTCCAATAAAAATATTAAATATTTGTGCCTATATAATTTATATGTGCAAATTATATGCATATATATGAAATGTCCTATATATGTGTGTGTGTGTGGGTTTGTGTACACTTTGATGGAGAATAAGTTGTGTTATTTTATTAAGCAAAAACATTGCCTTTTATGGTACATAAAATGACTCGTGTTTCCATGCTATTAAAATTCCTACGTAAGTCTAAATTCTTATACATTCCATTCTCTTTGTATATTTTCCTTTTAAGATGACAAACATTTATTTCAAAATATCTACATTTTATAAGCATTATACTCTAGTATCCAGTTTACTTACTATATATATGTATCTGTATACATATGTATATTCACTTATACATATTGGTGGTAACACTTTTCTCCTTTTATTTTAGTTTTACATTTCTGGAGTTTGGGGAAAGAAGCTATTGAAATTTTTCTTATTTCAAGATATGTTTACATGACCTACTTGCAAACTTAACAAAATCATCTGAGATTATTTTTTCTTCTTTCAGTAAACTTACCAAAATTTGAACATAACTTGAAAGTAATGATTGGTTTGCTGTTTTGATTGTTTGTAGACAAGTCCTGTGCCATTAGTATCTAATAAAGTGAGTGACATTGAAGAATTTGGTGACAAGAATACAAACTAGTCAAAATAGATTGCCTCTATGTCAATAATTATAAGGCTGCATATCAAAAAAATATAGTCATATATATATTCTAGGCACTGTTTAGGGATAGTAAAAGAACTAAAAATTGTGTACATACATTTTGTTGGAACACAATGGAGGTGAGGTTGGGGGGTATGGTGTATTTCCGTGTGGTTTGAGTGCCTGTGTGTGTGTACGCGGGTGTGAGAATTACTTTTTACAGAAATATAATTAAGTAAAAGTAACTTGGCATGTAAAATATGAGACAGTGAAGGAATAGGAGCATGGAAAACTATAAATTTTATAATTGTGCCATGTTTAGACTTTTCAGTTATTTCATAGTTATTGTATCAGACCTAAGACTGTGGCACATATTAGGTTCAAAATGGGAATGTAGATCCCTAATTCTAGATCCTTAATTCTTAATGCTTTTCACCATCACATGCTATAGTTCATTCACACAAATCACTGTGTTGTGTTTCTTTTGGTTGACACAGACCTATCCCCAAGAAAATGGACTCAAAAGACACCAATAAAAGCTTTTAAAAGTATTTTTATAAGCCTGGGAACTGCAATAACCCCTGTATCTATTAATTGTTATAATATAATTATGTGAAATATGAGTGAATTGTGAAGAGACAGGAGTAAAAACTGAACTTTTGGGAAGGAAAATTGCTAAGGAACGAATGCAGAGTCCAGTCCCAAGGGAAATTGGTTAGGGTATCCATTTAGCACAGGGTATTTGGTAATCAAACACATGGACTGGAATACAGTTTCAGAAAACATTATGTATCTTAGTGATGAAAGCAACTGCTTTTCACTTTTTGCAAACATGACATTAGTGAACCTTCTGCTAAATCCTCTACACTATTTAGTAAATCTATATCCATCAGATTGATTGTCTTTCTGATACTGCCAAAGTTCAGGTGTATATTAATTTCAAGAATAATTGAAACTGAAACATACCAAATAGTCCCATAGACAGTGTTTTATTTTTTTTGATTAACATAGAAATTGACCTTTCTGATCTTAAAACGTGAAACTCACCAGATCCAGACAATTACATACCAGGCCTCTCAAATGGTATCAAAGAATTGAAACTCACCAGATCATCACATTCTGACAATGAGATGTCAGGCCCCTCATTCATCATGATTGCTTCCTTAACCATCCTGAGTTTCCCTTTTCCAATTCATTGTTACATTTCTTCCCTGTATATAATCTAATTTCAGTTAGTCAGGGAGATGGATTTAAGACTGATCTCACATCTTCTTTGCTGTAGCACTTGATTAAAGACTCTCCCTTGGTGATAACCATTATCTCAGTGATTGGCTTTCTATACAGCCAACAGGAGTAGCAGGAGCTAGACTGAACTCCTGGTGTTACTGAAACACCAGGAAAATTTTAAAGGAATTCCCATTTGCAGGTTGAATAAGCCCTACTGACTGAGAGAGGAGGGAAACACCCTGACTGTTTCAGTATGGACGCTTCTGGGGGCTTATGTGTAATTGTGTGTTTTGTTTATGTGTCTGGGCATGTCAGTGTTTTTTGTGGGTACCAGACAGTGGGATTGACTCCTCTCAATTTGACAAATTCTGCAGTAATTTTTGTTTACAAATTGACCAAGTCCACCTAATGGAAAGGGAAGCATTCAGATTGTTTCAGTTTGGACATTCTTGGGGCTTGTGTGTTTCTGCAGTAGTTGGATTGTGTTTTGGTGATTGTTTGTGTGTGTTTCATGAAAAATTAGAATTCAATAAACAGATATTCTTTTGTAACACTGTTTGGCCCTAATATTCTTTGGAATCTGGAGTTTTCTATTGAATGAGAAAGTGTGTTTTTTTCAGGATCTTATGCTGCTGTTCTACGCAGGTATGTGCCTAGTTAGTAGGTTCCAGGTGATGTCCTGAGGTGCTGTTTGACCCTAATATTCTTTGGAGCCTGGGGAGGTTTGGGTCTTTAAGAATAAAACTGCCATTAAAGTTGCTTTACCCAAAATTTTGGTTCACAGCCTACATTGGGTTACCTATTGGGGCAAACAAAGTTTAGTCATGTAAACATGTTCATAGACAGGTAAGTTTGTATTGCTATCTCATGGCTACAGTTCAAAGGTAAAAGCTATTGGAAAAAGCTTTGTGTACCTGAAGGGAAAATAGAAAGCTGAAAATATTTAGTTAATAAAATCTTTAAAACATGATAGAAAACTGAAGAAATGGCAATTAACATTGCTCATAGTCAAAGCTCTTAGTCTCAATGAAGGCAAACTGAGAACTATTATAATGAAACACATTGGAAGTTTGGCTATTTTTTTATTATACTTTAAGTTCTGGGATATATGTGCAGAACATGCAGGTTTGTTACATAGGTATACACATGCCATGGTGGTTTGCTGCACCCATCAACCCATCATCTACATTAGGTATTTCTCCTAATGCTATCCTTCCCCTATCACCCTATCCCTCCCCTATCACCCCATCCCATGACAGGCCCCGGTATGTGATGTTTTCCTCCCTGTGTCCATGTGTTCTCATTATTCAACTCCCACTTATGAGTGAGAACATGCAGTGTTTGGTTTTCTGTTCCTGTGTTAGTTTGCTGAGAATGATGGCTTCCAGTTTCATCCATGTCCCTGCAAAGGACATGAACTCATCATTTTTTATGGCTGCATAGTATTCCATGGTGTATATGGATCTCTCTGCAGAGAGTGGATCTCTCTGCAGAAACTCTATAAGCCAGAAGAGAGTGGGAGCCAATATTCAACATTCTTAAAGAAAAGAATTTTCAACCCAAAATTTCATATCCAGCCAAACTAAGTTTCATAAGCGAAACAGAAATAAAATCCTTTACAGACAAGCAAATGCCGAGAGATTTTGTCAACACCAGACCCGCCTTACAAGAGTTCCTGAAAGAAGCACTAAATATGGAAAGGAAAAACTGGTACCAGCCACTGCAAAAACATACAAATTGTAAAGACCATCGACACTATGAAGAAACCGCACCAACTAACGGGCAAAATCATCATAATGACAGGATCAAATTCACACATGACAATATTAACCTTAAATGTAAATGGGCTAAATGCCCCAATTAAAAGACACAGACTGGCAAATTGGATAAAGAGTCAAGACCCATCGGTATGCTGTATTCAGGAGACCCATCTCACGTGCAAAGATACACGTAGGCTCAAAATATAAGAGATGGAGGAATATTTACCAAGAAAATGGAAAGCAAAAAAAAAAAAAAAAAGCAGGGTTTGAAATCCTAGTCTCTAATAAAACAGACTTTAAACCATCAAAGATCAAAAAAGACAAAGAAGGGCATTACATAATGGTGAAAGGATCAATTCAGCAAGAAGAACTAACTATCCTAAATACATATGCACCCAATACAGGAGCACCCAGGTTCATAAAGCAAGTTCTTAGAGACCTACAAAGAGAATTAGACTCCCACACAATAATAGTGGGAGACTTTAACACCCCACTGTCAATATTAGACAGATCAATGAGACAGAAAATTAACAAGGATATCCAGGACTTGAACTCAGCTCTGGACCAAGTGGACCTAATAGATATCTACAGAACTCTCCACCCAAAATCAACAGAATGTACATTCTTCTCAGCACCACATCGCACTTATTCTAAAATTCACCACATAACTGGAAGTAAAACACTCCTCAGCAAACGCAAAACAATGGAAATCATAACAAACAGTCTCTCAGACCATAGTGCAATCAAATTAGGAATCAGGATTAAGAAACACACTCAAAACCACACAACTGCATGGAAACTGAATGACCTGCTCCTGAATGACTACTGGGTACATAACGAAATGAAGGCAGAAATAAAGATGTTCTTTGAAACCAAGGAGAACAAAGACACAATGTTTCAGAATTTCTGGGGCACAGCTAAAGCACTGTTTAGAGGGAAATGTATAGCACTAAAGGCCCACAGGAGAAAGTGGGAATGATCTAAAATCAACACCCTAACATCACAATTAAAAGAACTAGAGAAGCAAGAGGAAACCAATTCAAAAGCTAGCAGAGGACAAGAAATAACTAAGATCAGAGCAGAACTGAAGGAGATCAAGGCACAAAAAAAATTCAAAAAATCAATAAATCCAGGACATGGTTTTTTGAAAAGATTAACAAAATAGATAGACCGCTAGCCAGACTAATAAAGAAGAAAAGAAAGAAGAATCAAATAGACACAATAAAAAATAATAAAGGGGATATCACCACTGATCCCACAAAAATACAAACTACCATTAGGGAATACTACAAACACCTCTATGCAAATAAACTAGAAAATCTAGAAGAAATGGATAAATTCCTGGACACATACACCCTCCCGAGACTAAGCCAGGAAGAAGTCGAATCCCTGAATAGACCAATAAGAAGTTCTGAAATTGAGGCAGTAATTAATAGCCTACCAATCAAAAAAAGCCCAGGATGAGGTGGATTCACAGCTGAATTCAACCAGAGGTACAAAGAGGAGCTGGTACGATTCCTTCTGAAACTATTCCAAACAATAGAAAAAGAGTATACAGGACTCACTACAAGGGTACCTCATTTACTCAGCCTTCCACTCTCAACTTCAGATGAGAACTGGAGTGTGCAAGCACTGGAATTGGCCAACTGGTTTGGTGTCAGCAGGAGTGAGCTCCATGTGGGCCCTGTGGCATTGTCCACGTATGGATGCCTGTGACCCCAAAGCCCTAGAGGTCATGTTACCAGTGCTCTTTAAGCTGTGTCATCCATGGATGGCTTAAGTGTTTGTAGCTCAGTGGGCACTTTGCCTCATTGTGTGGGGCCGCTGCCCTCCACCACTGAGGGGAAAGGGCCAGTGTGACAGCCTTTTGTATCCACTTGTGGCTCCCAAGCTCCTGTCCAGAGTCCAGGAAAAATGAGGTTAAATGAACAAGTTGAAGGATGATATATGCAGGGTATTTTATTGCTGATTAAATTGCCTCTCAGTGGGAAGAGGTGCTCAAAAGGGGATGGGGAGGTAGGCAATCCTCCCCTGAAGTCTGGCTGTCTCCAGCCAGATTCTTCTCCAAGGTTACACCATCAAGCTGTCCCTCCGAAATCAAGCCATTTTTCTCCAACATCCAACCATAGTCTCTGCTCCTCTCCAACTGAATCTTGGGTCTTTACAGGCACATAATGGAGGACAGGGTGGGCCATGGGTAGTTTAGGAAAAGACAACATTCAAGCAGGAAAACAGGGATATAAGTTCTCATTTTAGGCCATGGTTTCAGGCTTTTTGGCTTGAGGGTTTCACTGGGGACCTGCCCTTTTCTGCCTAGAATTTCTCTGCCTCCTTCACCTATCAGTACAAGTACTAATGTACTTATTGGTCATCTGCCTACAGTGAATTTCTCAATTGCACAAAATATATATTGGTATTGATCAACTTGAAGACATTAATCTGTATACCAGAAACAAAATGTCCATTAGGTGTTTGTTTTAGGCTCTGGGTAACATTGTAGCCTCTCATATAAACTGAGTAGGAGAAATAATTGGAGTCGGTTTTCTGTTTATTTGTTTTTGCTTTTAATTTTCATTTATTTGCTGTTTGATCTTTTTGGAATTTTAATTATATATACATATATATAAAACCATTGATGGTTTTTAGTTTCTAATGGAAGGCTTTTATTTGATCCCATGAATAGCCATTTATTGGCCTATGCATTTCCAACAATTCATCATCTGTTCTATTTATCTAAAATTCCAAGCTGCCTATGTCAAACCTGCAAAAAGTAAGTAATAGAGGACGTCAACTATTTAAAATTTGATTGGTTTTGTTTACCTCTGACAGAGAGCTACAAATGCTTTAAGGTTTCTGTAAAAATAAAATAAATAAGATTTATTTTTACATGTTTTGAGCAGCAGTGTTACATTACTTCATTTGAAAAAAGTAGGTGAGAATAAAGATGTTTAAATAATGTTTATTTCCAAGGTAATTCAGTTCAATCAATAATTTGAGTTGGTTTCAGATCTTTTTATTTAGGGAATGAAGAAAAATTATGACATGGACGTAAAGTTTTAATGTTCAGAAAAGTTTGGTCTTGCCCTTAAGGAAATTATACTGACTGTGATTTCTCTCAAACCAATTTAGTTGTATTTAACATTATTAAAATTCAATGACATTTGCTTGGGTTAAGTCATAATAAAAAAAGTATGACTTTCTAGTAATTTTTTTTTATCCCAAGCCATTTATCACTGATAGGCCTCGATGTGTATAATTGAAAATGAAATATGTACAAGTGTTACCCTGGCTTGAATATTTTACTGGTGAAAGTTACCTAATCAGTTGTCTGTACTGTATCTAGAAACCAATCTTGGAAATGTGTGATGATGTCCTTTTAAAACAGTTGAAAAGAAATTACTGTGTGCTTGTTCTTAATTTGTCCCTGTTTTGTTGTATAGTATTTAAATGAAAGGAGATTATTTTTTCTCACACTGAATTTCCAAAACTGATAACTGCATTTATAATTTTTTAAATGATGAAGAGAAACCTTAGTCATCTTACTTTGATAAGTTTGGAGCAGGAACTATCACAAAAGTTTGGATAGTAGGAACTATCCAAACAAAAGTTTGGATGCTTTTGATCACAGTTTTGTCACTAGAATGCTAGCAACTAGACATGCAATAAGTAATCTGACTAACTTAATACACAGTGGTTTCAAGTGCAGCAGGCAGTAGCCTCTGAACACCAAATCACAGTGTTTTAATTTGTGAAACGATAGAGAAAATGATAGCACTTTCTGTGGTATAAATATCTTATTAACCCATCCTTGTGCTGTTAAGTTATAGGGCTTTGAATCCTGGAACTTAACAGCACAAAGTGCCTTTGTATCTGAAAAGGCACACACGATAGAGAAAATGATAGCACTTTCTGTGGTATAAATATCTTATTAACCCATCCTTGTGCTGTTAAGTTATAGGGCTTTGAATCCTGGAACTTAACAGCACAAAGTGCCTTTGAATCTGAAAAGGCACACACTTCTGCTAAATTTTGAGCATTGACAACAGTCTAAGCTGTGTTTTGAGACCACAGAGAAAGTGAAAATCAGAATGAATGCTTTTGTGAAACACAGAACAAGAAGTTTGAACCGTTCAATCTCTCTAGACTCAGGGACTATCATGAAACAGGTGGGCACATGAAATTTTAAGGGCCAATTTTGTGAGATAAAATTTGTTCAGAGTTTTTTTTATATATAAATTAAACATTAATATTAAAAGCACACTGATGTAAAGCCAACATCTAGGCCTGTGTGTAAAAATAACAGGGTTTTCTTGGAGCATTGATCTGCTCTTTAATAGAGTTATAAAAGATTTAACAGAAATTTTATCTTATGGTCAAACTGATTAAAATTAGATAGATTTGTTTTTAAGGTTTTATTAAATTTTATTAAAATTAGCTTTAACATTAATAATACACCATACAAAGGTAAAATTTGGTTTTCTTCTTTGGAGAAAATTTTCATGTACTGGATAATAGGAGATTTTTGTTTACCATTTGATTACACTGCGGGGGAAAAAGGATAGGGAGAGACAAATTTATTTGACCTCATGCTATCTTTATTAGGTTTCATTGTTTGAGAAACTTCGTCTCATCACTATCAAAGGATAATTGTTTTTGTGGTATCATTCTGGCTAAATGAATGACTAGTTTGTAGTAACTTGTGGTTCTATTTTGTAGTATCAATTGTCTTAAACCTTTGATAGTTGAAAGATTTTCCAACAGCAAAATTTCAAGTTCGAAATTCAGTCTTTTTAACCTCATACTAACTTTTTTTTTTTTATATTGGGTCCCCTGAAGACCAACAGAGACACATTAGGCTTATTTGGTAAGTTAGAATTATACAAAAATCATTGTCAAATGTGACATAGTATTTAACTTCTTTTGGGTTATATTTATAAAGATGTGTTATTAATACGTGTTCTAGGACTGTATGATATTCCTGAAATTCTGACATACCTTAATATATTTGTTAAGTAATGATTATAATTATGTTGAATTTTTTTTTTTTGCCAACAGAAATTACCTAATTTCCTCATCAACTGTATCTTTAACTATGACTGTTTTAAGACTTTTGTCATCCACAGTTGTTTCTTGTTGATTCTTGTTAAAAAGTGACTTAAAATCAGTTTTAATCCAGGGCTTGCTTCTTTGGGGCAGTTTATGGAAGGAACTCATGAATAAAGAATTCTGATAACTTTGGAGATTGTGCCACTGGATTAGAAAGAAAACTTCCAGCAGTCTAATTAACTAGCTGATGTGTTTATAAAGACTGCTAACAAAATATGAAGCACAGTAGGAGCTGATTGGATGGTCTGAACTAATGGTGGACTGACATAATTTTTATGGCTTTTTTGCTTGAAATATTGTTGATTCTTTGTTTTTCAGAATCTGGAGAACTTTTTTCTTTAGAGCTATTTATAACCTTGAAATATACTTTAAGTATATTGAGGATAGATTGAAGATTTTGAGTCATAGTCCTCTCTCTCTCTGCCTAAAATTTGTAAACTATTTGTGAATATTCTTAATTCATGGCAATGTGATTGTTTGTATATGTTTAGTAAGAACTTGTTTTCTTTTATAAGGGGATGCAGTTGGAGGAACTGATTATTTTCCAAGGGTTTTGACTGAAATGGTCTGTGAGAAGTTTCAGCAAAGCCAACTCAAGAGAGCCTATTTGGACAATAATTATTTCTGCACTTTATGTGGGTAATCAGGCCAAATATATGGGACTAAATCTTATTTTGCAGGAAGGTTTGTCCTATTATAATTGGTCTTTGGTGAAAGTGGGTGACTAGAGAGAGAAAAATTGTATTTCAAAAGAAAACTATAGTACCAATCTTTGATTTCTCCATGGCCACATGATCACCCATGGTATGGAGTACCCACAATGCCCCTCCTCAGCAGGAAGAAGCCAGAATGATTGATCATCAGAATCCCCATGATTGAGGAATTGATAAATAAAAGGGGGGGGGGGAGGTGCTGAAACCAATCTAATAGTCACATAGGTTTTTTTTTTTATAAAAATGGAAATTGACCATTCTAGTCTTAAAACTTGAAACTCACCAGATTAAGACAATGAGATATTAGCCCTCTCAAAAGGTATCAAATATCAAACTCATCAGATCATCACATCCGGACCATGAGACACCAGACCACTCATTCATCATGATTACTTCCTTACCTCACCTGAATTCCTGTTTTCCTATACATAGTTACATTTCTTTCCTGCTATATAAACCTCTAATTTTAGTCAGTCAGGGAGATGGATTTGAGCCTGATCTCCCCTCTCCCTGGCTGTAGCACCTGTTTAAAGTCTTTTTTCTTGGCAATAATCATTGACTCAATGATTGGCTTTCAGTGCAATGAACAGCAGGACCTAGGCCAAATCCCTAGTGTTTGGTAACAAAACTACTTCTCAGGGAAATTAAACAATGGAAAATAGAAGAAAACTCTCAAATGAGAAAATCAGTCTTCACTATGCAATGATTTTTTCTCTTGCACTCACATATAAAAAATGCTAACTACCTTAGAGATACTTGAGGGTGAAAGAAGCAATATTTCTTTGATATATGTTACATTGTTTATTTTAAGATGACAGTTTTCTAATTGTTTTTGAAGTATGATTTGTTTGGCTATTTCTTTTTTGAAATTCTAGTTGACATATAGTCATTGTACATATTTATGAGGTAGAGGTGAAATTTTGATACCTATATAAAATATATGTATAAAATATGTGATGCTCAAATCAGGCTAATTGGTATATTCATCACCTCATACATTTATCATTTATTTGTATTGGGAATATTAAAAATCCTCTCATAGCTGTTTAAAAATTCAGAATAAATTATTGTTTACTAGTCACACTAGTCACACTAGAAATTTTTCCTCTTATCTAGCTATAATTGTGTATCCAATAAACCACCTTTCCCTATACAGCCCCTTATCATTCCCAGCCTCTAATTACTACTATTCTACTCTCTCCTTCAATGATATAAACATTTTTAGCTTCTACATGTGAGTGAGAACACATGGTATTTATGTTTTTGAGCCTGGATCAGTTTACTTGATGTAATGTCCTACAGATTCATCCATTCTGCCACATATAGCAGGATTTTATTCTTTTTAAAGGCTGAATGATATTACATTGTGAATCTATACCACATTTTCATTATCTATTCATCTGTTGATGGACTCTTAGGTTGAGTCAATATTCTGATTATGGTGACAAGTTCTGAGAAAAATATTCAAGTACAGGTATCTCTTTGAAATACTAATTTACTTTTTAAAAAATATGTATTCAGTAGCAGCATGGCTGGCTGATACAACAGCTCTGTTTTTTGTCATTTGAGGAACTTCCATACTCTGTTTCTTAACTGATGACTGATTTACATTCTGACCAGCAAAGTATAAGCTTTTCTCTGCATTCTCACCACCATTTTTTTATAATAGCCATTCTAATTAAGGTGAGATGATACCACTGTGAGTTTGATTTGCATTTCTCTGATTATTAGTAATAATGAACATTTTGATATACTTTTTAATGTTTGTATGTCTTCTTTTGAGAAATTACTGTTCAGATCTTCTGCTGTCCTTTTTAATCAGGTTATTTGTTTTTCTGCTGTAGAGTTGAGATCCTTTTATATTCTACATGTAAGTCTCTTGTCAAATTAGTAGTTTGAAAATATTTTCTCCCATTCTGCTGATTGTCTCTTCATTTATTGTTTTTCTTTCCTTGCAGAAACTTTTAATTTTGATACAATTCCAGTTGTCTATTTTTACTTTTGTTGCCTGTGCTTTTGAGGTCCTAGCCATAAAATATTTGCCCAGGCCAACGTCCTGAAGGATTTTCCTGTTTTCTTTTGGAAGTGTTATAGTTTCCGGTCTTATATTTAGGTGTTTACTTTACTTTTGAGTTCAACTTTGTATATAGTGGGGAATATGGCTTTAGTTTTATTCTTTGTACATGGATATGCAATTTTCCAACCACCATTTATTGAAGATACTGTCATTTCCCCAATATGTATTCTTGAAAACTTTGTTAACATTGGGCTGTATATATGTAGATTTATTTCTGGGTCCTTTAGCCTTTTCCATTAGTCTATGTGCCTGATTTTATGCCAGTACCATGTTATTTTTATTACTATGTTTGTAGTACATTTTAGGTCAGGTAGTGTAATGCCTCTTGCTTGTTCTTTTCAGAAGACTCCTTTGGCTATTTTAGATCGTTTTTAGTCCCACATAAATGTTTTTATTGTCTTTTTTTACTATTTCTGTGAAAAATCCTGTGAATGTTTTGTTAGGGATTACATGGAATCTGTAGATAACTTTGGGTAGTGTGGTTATTTTAACGATAGTAATTATTTCAATCCATGAAAAGGGGATGTTTTATTTTTTAAATGTCTTTATTTCATCAGAGTTTGATTATTTTTATTGTAGAGATCTATCATCTCCATGGTTATAGTTTTATTATTTTTTATTGTAGAGATCTATCATCTCCATGGTTATATTTATTCCTAAATACGTGATATTTTGTGGCTATTGTAAACAGTATTACTTTCTCAATTTCTTATTCACCTAGATTATTATTGGTGTATAAAAATGCAAATGACATTTGTATGTTGATTTTTTATCCTGTGAGTTTACTGAATTCATTTATTAGTTCTAAAAGATTTTGGTAGAGTCTTTAGAATATCTATATAAAAACACACGCCATCTGCCAACAGGTACAATTCGTCTTCCTCCTTTCCAATTTAAGGGCACTTTATTTCTTTGTCTTCTCTAATCGCTCTGACTAGGACCTTCAGTGCTGTGTCAAATAACAGTAGTGAAAGAGGGCATTCACATCTTGTGCCAGATTTTAGAAAAAAAGGTTCAATTCTTCCTTGTTCAGGATGATGTTAGTTGCAACTTATAGCCTTTATTTTCTTAAGGTATGTTTCTTCTATACTTAATTTATTGAGAGTATTTATTATTCAGAAATGTTGAATTTTTTCAAATGCTTTATCTGCATCTATTGAGATGATTGTTTTTCCTTCATTTTGTTTATATGATTTATCACATTTATTGATTTGTGTATGTTAAGCCATTCTTGTATCCCTGAAATACATTTTATTTAATTATGCTGTATAATTGTATTGATGTGCTATTGGATTCAGTTTGCTAGTATTTTGTTAATAATTTTTGCATCTGTGCTCATCAGGGATGTTGGCCTACAGTTTTGTTGTTGTTTTATCCTTGTCTGGTTTTGGTGTCAGGGCAATGCTGGCCTCATAGAATGAGTTTAAAATAATTTCCTACCCTTCAATTTTTGGAATAGTTTCAGAAAAATTGAAATTAATTTTAATTTAAATGTTTGGTAGAATTCAGCAATGAAGTCATCTGATCCTAGGTATTTTTGATGTTGTGAGAAATATTTTACTAGCACTTCAAACTTATTACTTGTTTTTGGTCTGCTCAGGTTTTCCATTTCTTCCTGGTTCATTCTTGATGATAGGTTCTGTGTGTCCAGGAATTTATCCATTTCCCTTTAGCTTTTCCATTTTATTGGCATATAGTTGTTCATAATAATCTCTCATGGTATTCTGTATTTCTGTGTTATCAGTTGCAATTTTTTCTTTTTAATAATTTTTGGGGCTCTTTTTATTCTAGTCTAGCTAGTTATTTGTTTATTTTGTTTATTTAAAAACACTGTTTCATTTGATTGATCTTTTGTATTTTCAGTCTCTGTTTATTTCTGCTGGATCATTATTATTTATTTTTCTATTAATTTTGGCTTTGGTTTGCTCTCATTTTCTTTGTTCCTTAAGGTCCATTTATAGATTGTTTATTTGAAAATGTTCTTTTTTTATATAGGTGTTTATTGCTATGAACTTCCCTTTTAGTAGTGCTTTTGTTGTGTTCCATAGGTTTTGGTATATTCTGTTACTTTTGTCATTTGTTTCAAGAAATTTTCTAAGTACCTTCTTAATATATCATTGACCCATTAGTCATTCAGGAGCATGTTGTTAGTTTCCATGTATTTGTACAGTTTCCAAAGTTCCTCCTGTTATTGATTTCTACTTTTATTCTATTATGGTGAAGAAAGATACTTAATATGATTTTGATTTCTTTTAAAATTTATTGAGACTTTTTGTGGCCTTTAATATGGTCTACCAGAAACATGTTCCATATGCTGATGAGAAGAATTTGTGTATACTAAAGATGTTGAATAAAATGTTCTTGTTTTTTAGGCCTATTTGTTCTCAGGCATTTTAAATGCAATGTTTCTGTGTTGATTTCCGTTTAAGTGATCTGTCCAATTCTGAGAGTAAGGTATTGAAGTCCCCAACTATTACTGTATTGGAGTTTATCTTCCCCATTAGATATAATAATATTTGTTTACATATCTTGGTGCTCCAGTGTTGCATTTATATATATCCATATATTTTGGATCCTCTTACTGCATTGATCACTTTATTGTTATATAATGACCTTATTGTTCTCCTTTTATACTTTTTATGGATAAAGTCTGTCTAATATAAGTAGAGCTATTCGTGCTTATTTTTGGGTTTTAATTGCATAAAGTACTTACTTTCAGTCTATATGTATGTTTACAGATAAACTGAGTTTCTTGTAAACAGCATATGGTTGGGTTGCCAAAAAAATTATTCCACCAGTTTGTATATTTTAGTTGGAGAGCTTAATCCATTTATATTTGAGGTTATCATAAATAGGAGAAAACTTATTTGTGCCATTTTGTTCATTATTTTCTGGTAGTTTTGTATATATTGTTCATTTTGTTCTTTTCTTTCTGATTATCTTTGACTTTTCATGTTTTTTTTGTAGTAATACAGTTTAATTGCTTTTTTTTTATCATTTGTGGATCTTCTTTACAAGTGTGTTTTATACTTTTGCATATTATCATAATGATAGTTATTATTTTTTATTTCTAGATATCAGATTCCCCTAAGCACATCCTGTAGGACCAGTCTAGTGGTGATGAATTCCCTCAGTTTTTGCTTTTCTGAGATATATTTTATTTCTTCTTTATTTTTGAAAGCTAGCTTTTTGAGTATAGTATTCTTAGTAGACAGATTTTTTTTTTTTTTTAGCTTGTAATATGTCTTCCCATTTTTTTCTTGTCATGTAAGGATTTTTGCTGAGAAATCTGCTGTTAATATAATGAGTATCCTCTTATATGTGACTTAATGCTTTTTTTGCCATTTAAAAAATCCTCACTTCATCTTATACTTTTGACAGTTTTTCTATAATATGCCTTGAGAAAGAACTTTTGTGAGTTTGGTCTATTTGGAAACATTTGAGCTTACTGAATTTGGATGTCCATATCTTTCACAAGAGTTGGGACGTTTTCAGCTACTGTTTTATCAAATATATTTTCTATGCCTTTTCCTGTCTCTTCTCATTTTCCAGTCTCTTCAAATGTTAAAATTTGCATGCTTAATGGTGTTCTGTAATTCCCATAGGCTTTCTTCATTTTTTTGTGATTTATTCTTTTCCCCCTCTGGGTTATTTTAAAAGAGCCATACACAGATTGAGAAATTATTTCTTCTGCTTGATCTAGTCTGTGGTTGAAGCTCTATATTGTATTTTTTTTATTTCATTCATTGAATTTGTAGTTCCTCAATTTCTGTTTGATATTTTTATATAATATGTATCTCTGTTGAACTTATTCAGATCATTAATTGTTTTCCTGATTTTGATGAATTGTCTATCTGCATACTCTTGTATCAAGCTGAGTTTCCTTAAGAACATTATTTTGATTTTTTTTTCAAAGATTTGATAGATTTTCTTTTTCGAGGTTCAGTTACTGGAAATTTATTGAGTTCTTTTGGATGTTTTATATCCTCTTTTTTTTTATTTTCAATGTTTCATGTGTTCCTACGTTTATATCTGCACATCTGGTGAAATGGTAACCTCTCCCAATTTCACAGAGTAGTTTTTTTAGGGAAAAACATTTCTCTGTGCTCATTTCCTATATTGTTGGTTAGGTAGGGTACTTTGCTCTGGGTACTGGGCAGGTGCAATAGTGTAGTCTCTGTGCAATTTCTTAGGCTTCAATAACTGTCATTAGTATCTGTGCCTCAGTGGCCTACACTTCAGGTGTTTGCGGAGGCAGTGGCAAGACTTTTTCAGGGGTGAGGGCCAGTGGTCAGGCTTATTCTCAAGTCCTTGGGAATATGTGACAGGTACAGCAGCACTGCCAGTCATGGAGCTGGTGTCACCTGTGGTGGCACAACAGGCAGTTCATCCCCCAATCCCTGGTAGGTATGCACTGTGTGCAGCAGCTTCACTGGTCAAGGATAGTGGTTCAACACTAGTGAGAGGCATTAGGAAGGTCAGTGCTGGGTTCTTGATGGGTGCATACAGCACACAGTGGCCCTGGTGCTGGAGATGGTTGGATTACTGCCAGAGGTAGGCACAAGGTACCAGTTCTAGGTGCCTGGGGAGTGTGCATAATGGTGTCCCTGATCCTGGGAACAGCCTCCCTGTTGTGCTGGAACCCCTGCTCTCTGGAGTATAGGGAAGTATGGGTTCAAGTGGGGTCCCAGCTGTACCATTGAGTCTTACTGGGATCACAATGTTGAAACCTTCTGTGTTGGTAAAATGGGGTGATGACAAACCTCAAGGATGTGGAGATTTAAATGCTATTGGCCCCCAGGGCATAATATATTCCCTCAGTGGCTCCATTCTGTAAATGTTGCCTGCTATAGTAGCCAGTGTACCGAGGAGTAGGTGGTGTCTCATTGTGTGTTTCCTCTTTTGGACAAAAACAGCCATGTGGACTCCAGAAAACTTTCTATACTGATCTCAGGGCCTGTGAGGATTGTAGGGTTGTCTTATAGATAGAAATTAAGGCACCTTTTGTGATAATTGGGAATGCTGGGGATCTGGTGTGTACATTTTCTTGGCTCTGAGCTGGATCTGGCTGGGCATTTTTCTTCCCTTTCTATGCTGCCATCTAGAGTTTCTATGTCTCAGAGCATTTTCATCACTTTCTTGCTGAGTTCCAGTCTTCTGTCTCAGTCACTCTACTCAAGATGCAGTTATTTATTTGTTGCTTTGGTCCTTCTTTGTGGAGATGAGTGTTGGGTGCCTCTAGTTAGCCATCTGATGACAATTTTCTTGTATTTATCGAACTCAATTATCAAATGACGATACTGATGTTGTATCACTATATAAAATTATATGAGTTTATATAAAATATTCTCACAAAAGACCAGCATGATTATATTATAAATGAGCAGTTTCATACTTTTAATATATTTATTATGTAACTGAGATAACTAGAAATAAATTATTTAAATTATCATTTTTATATCATTTAATAAGGTCTAGACTGAGTATAAAATGCACATAGCTCAAGGGAATCTAGGTATCTATTTATCATATAAAGCAGGTAAAAAATAACATTTTATTAGAAATACTGGTCTTCTGTAAGTTATTTACTACCTTTAGAATTCTAGCCCAAAAAGTCCTAGAGTGAAAAAAGAACATGTATTTATAAAATTTACGAAAGGTATTTTCCAATCAATACCGAAATTCTTGCCAGTTAAACTTTCTGTCAGAAAAGAAGTACAAGAATAGACATTTACTTTTTATTTCTTGATGTAAAAGATGTAGCCAAGAACCATATAAAACAGCAATGGAGAATGAACATTTCTTCTGCTCTGTCTGATTTCCCACTTCAATTGCTTTCACATCCTATCTTATTATATAATTATTTATCTGGCAGCTGCCTCAACCACTATTCCCAAGGTACTCTGAAAGCTGGAAACTGAAACCTGGAAGCCTGAGCACTAAGAATAGTAAACCACCAGAGAATCACAGTGTATGTATGCTTTTGGCTTTGATACTGACCTTGTGCCTCAATAATCAGACCAGTTCATGAGGCAGTGACTGTTTATATGTGTCATATAATTATACTACACTGTAAAGAACAGAAAAACTTCTCCATGTGCTGACTGAAGAAGTGGGATCTATTGACAGTTTAAAGAATTGGGATTATTGGCACTTATTTCTCTTTTATATTTGTGGTAGTATAAATATTAATAAATCTTCACTGGAATATATGGGGTATAAAAATAAGAGGATAAAAATGAAAATCAGTCAACTTACACGAACACACACACAAACACAAACTGCATAATACATAAACTATTATACATTTATAGATTTTTTACTGTCCAATAGAGTAGCCACGAACCACATGTAGCTATTTAAGTTTAAATTCAAACTAATTAATACTAGATAAACCTAAAAATCCAATTTCTCAGTTTATTGTTCACATTTCATGTTCTTATCAGCCACTTATATCTAGTGGCTATCATTCTACTTTATAGTATGTTTCTATCATTGCAGAGAGTTATATTGGGTAGTGCTAGTATAGACAATAAATATGTTATGTATAGATTATATATACATTACAAAATGTACAAAAAAAAAAAATAAAAGGACCACAGTAAAAATAAAAATAAACAGCAATTCTAGTATTTTCCCACTCCCCAAGTAACCATGTTGTGCAATGCTTGGATGCATACACCCTTCTTTAGAGATAACTGATTGCCCAAATAAAGAATCAAACTCATTAAATTTATTTTTTTTTACAGAACATTAACACTTTTTAAAAATAAACTGACATAATACACTTCTTACTATTATTTATAACATCAGTCATAATTTAGGAAACATAAGTGTGTTTTATATAATATAAAGCATTCTGCAAAATGATGAAGTCATGGAGTTAAAAGGCCTAGACCAACCCAAAAGTAAAAAAAAAAAAAAAAAAAGTTTTAAAAATGAAATCACTTTTAGGCTAAGCCATATAACTAATCAGTTTTCTCTTTTGATGAAGTCATTGGGATCTTTAATATTTAAGCAAAACTTAATACCACTTATACATCTAAACACTATTTAGATGTATAAATACAGCCTGCTAAATTAGCCTGCTATTTATTTCCTGTGAGTGAGGCCCATTCAACATAGAACATAAAAATATTAAGAATGCACTAGTTTTCCAAGTCTGATAGGTCTTAAACTATGATAGATATTACTGGAAAGGTTAGAAATGTCTTTAACCTACATGATTACAACCTAATCCCCACAGTCATGGTTCACTGCAACCTCTGCCTCCCAGGTTCAAGCGATTCTCCTGGGGATTACAGGTGCCTGCCACTCTGCCCAGCTAATTTTTGTATTTTTAGTAGAGACAGGATTTCACCTTTTTGGCCAGGCTGTTCTTGAACTCCTGACCTCAAGTGATCTGCCTGCCTTGGCCTCAGAAACTGCTGGGATTACAGGCATGAGCCACCGCACCCGGACAAATTTCCTCATTTCACTTAGTTTTTTTCAGATTTTTATAAGTCTCTTTTTCTATCAAAATGTTAAACAACGGGAGGGGCTAAGATGGCCAACTAGAAACAGCTGCAGTCAGAGGCTCCCAGTGAGAGGAACAAAAACTACGAGTGAATCCTGCACAGGCAAGTGAGGTATTCAGGTTCTCTCATTTGGACTTACTAGGCAGTTGGTGTGACCCACGGAGAGCAAGGAAAAGCAGGATGGTGTGATGGTCCACCTGGGAGCCACATGGAGCAAGGGGAGCTCCCACCCCAAGCCAAAGGAGGCAGGGAGTGATCTACTACCTTGCCTGGGAAACTATGCTTTTTGCTGTGCAACCTGTGAATCAATACAGCCTCCTCATGAGCCCATACGACCAGGGCCTTGGGTCTCAAGCACAGAGATATGCAGATTCTCAGCAGTCACTTGGCTGGAGACTGCCTAAGACTACCAAGTCCCTGGGGGAAAGAGTTGGCTGTCAACACTGCAGCTGCCTGCTGCCTAAGACGACTGAGCTCCTTGCAGGAGGGGCGGCAGCCATCACCACAGTGCCAGTCTGCCACTTTTTCCCCTGCTGGTAACAGGGAGACTGGATGATTTGGATCCAGGAGGAATTCCCCACAGTGCAGCACAGTGGCTGTGGCAGATCGTGGCCAGACTGCCTCTTTAGGTCAGACCCGGATCCATCCCTTTTTCACTGGGAGGGGCCTCCCTGCAGGAATTTCAGCAATTCTAGCCAGGGGTTTAGAGACAAAAATCTGATCTCCCTGAAACTGAGCCCACTGGGGGAGGGGTAGCCACAGTCTCTGAGGATAAGCAGACTTAGCCTTGCCTGCAGGCTCTGAGGATATTGGGCAGTCCCTATGAGTGAGATGTCCCCCTACACAGCACACATCATCTGCCAATGGGCAAGCAGAGTGCGTCATTAAGTGTATTTCAGATCCTGTGACTCTGGACTGGGTGAGACCCCTCAACAGGAATCACCAGAGAACTTATACAGGAGTGTTCATGCTGTCAACAGGTCTTGCTCCTCTAAGACAGAGATCCCAGAGAAAGAAGCAGGCAACTATCTTTGCTGCTCTGTTGCCTCCATGGGTGACACCTCCAGGTGCAGGAGGGACCCAGGGGAATAGGATTTGTAGTGGACCCCCAGGAAAACACAGCAGCCCTATAGAAAATGGGCTTGACTATTAAAAGAAAAACAAACAAACAGAAGATGACAACAACGACCTCAACGAAAAAGTTCCTACAAAAACCCATCCAAAAGCCAACAGCCTCAAATATCAAAGTTAGATAAACTCAAGAAGATGAGAAACAACAAAAAAAAAAACAATGAAAACTCAAAAATCCAGAGTGCCTCTATTTCTGAAAATGATCACAACACCTCTCCAGAAAGGGCACAGAACCAGGCAAAGTCTGAGATAGATGAATTGACAGAAGTAGGTTTCAAATGATGTGTAATAATGAACTTTACTGAGCTAAAGGAGTATATTCTAACCCAATGCAAAGAAGCTAAGAACCGTAATAAAACATTACAGGAGCTGTTAAGCAGAACAGATAGTTTAGAGAGGAGCATATATGACCTGATAGAGCAGAAAAACACAACAAAATAACTTCACAATGCAACCACAAGTATCAATCACCGAATAAAAAAGCAGAGGGAAGAATTTCAGAGCTTGAAGACTATCTTGCTGAAATAAGACAGGCAGACAAGATCAGAGAAAAAAGGAATGAAAAGGAATGAAAAAAACCTCTGAGAACTATGGGATTATGTAAAAAGACTGAACCTGTGACTGATCGGGGTACCTGGAAAAGATGGGAAGAACAGAACCAAGTTGAAAAACACACTTCAGGATATCACCCAGGAGAACTTCCCCAACCTAAGAAGACAGGCCAACATTCAAATTCAAGAAATCCAGAGAACCCCAATAAAATACTTCATGAGAAGATCCACCTCAAGACAGATAATCATCAGATTATCCAAGGTTAAAATGCAGGGAAAACTGTTAAGGGCATCCAGACAGAAAGGCCAGGCCACCTACAAAGAAAAGCCCATCAGAGTAACAGCAGACCTCTCAGCAGAAACTCTACAAGCCAGAAGAGATTAGAGGCCAATATTCTGCATTCTTAAAGAAAATAATTTTTAATTTAGAATTTCATATCTGGCCAAACTAAGCTTCATAAGTGAAAAATAAATAAAATTCTTTTCAGACAAGCAAATGTTGAGGGAATTTGTCACCAGCAGACCTGCCTTGCAAGGGCTACTGAAGAAAGCACTAAGTATGGAAAGGAAAATCTATTACCAGCCAATGCAAAAACATACTGAAGTACAAAGACCAATGACACAGTGACGCAACTACATCAAAAAGTTTGCAAAATAACCAGCTTGCATCATGATGACAGGACTAAATTTACATATAACAATATTAATCTAAAATGTAAATGGGCTAAAAGACACAGAATGGCAAGCTAGATAGAGTCAAGACCCATTGATATGCTGTATTCAAGAGACCAATCTCATGTGCAAAGACACACATAGGCTCAGAATGGAGGGATGGAGAGAAGTTTACCAAGAAGTGGAAAGCAGAAAAAAGCAGAGGTTACAATCCTGGTTTCTGATGAAAGAGACTTTAAACCAACAAAAATCAAAAAAGTCAAAGAAGGGTATCACATAATGGTAAATAATCAATATAACAAGAAGAGCTAACTATCCTAAATATATGTGCACCCAATACAGGAGCACCCAGATTCACCAAACAAGTCCTTGGAGACCTACAAAGAGACTTAGACTCCCACATAATATGGTTTGGCTGTGTCCCCACCCAAATCAAATGTTGAATTCCTACTTATTGTGTGAGGGACCTTGTTGGAGGTAATTGAATCATGGGGGTAGGTCTTTCCTATGCTGTTCTCATGATAGTAAGTCTCATGAGATCTGATGGTTATTACAAAAGGGATTTTTCCTGCGCAAGCTCTCTTTGCGGCCATCCATGTAAGACATGACTTGCTCCTCCTTGCTTTTCACCATGATTGTGAAGCTTCCCCAGCCACACAGAACTGTAAGTCCAATTAAACCTCTTTATTTTTTAAATTGCCCAGTCTTGGGTTTGTGTTTATCAGCAGCAGTAATACACCACACAATAATAGTAGGAGACTTTAACACCTCACTGTCAATAGCAGATTATTGAGATAGAAAATTTACAAGAATATTGAGGTCTTGAACTAAAGCAGACCTGATATATATCTACAGAATTCTCCACACAAAAACAACAGAATATACATTCTTCTCTGTGCCACATGGCACTTATTCTAAAATCAATCACATAAGTGGAAGTAAATACAAAAGAACTGAAGTAATAACAGTCTCTCAGACAACAGTCCAATCAAGTTAGAACTCCAGATTAAGAAACTCACCCCAAACCAAACAACTACATGGAAATTAAACAACTTGCTTCTGAATGACACCTGGGTAAATAATAAAATTAAGGCAGACAATGTACCAGAATCTCTGGGACACAGCTAAAGCAGTGTTAAGAGAGAAATTTATAGCACCAAATGCCCACATCAATAAGCAAGAAAGATCTCAAATTGACACCCTAATATGACAACTAAAAGAACTAGGAAACCAAGAACAAAAATACCAGAAGCTAGCAGGAGACAAGAAAAAACCAAGATCAGAGCAGAACAGAAGGACATAGAGACAAAAAAAAAAAACCTTCAAAAAATAAATGAATCCAGAAGCTCTTTAAAAAAAATAAAATAGACTTCTAGCTAGACTAATAAAGAAGAAAAAAGAATCAGACACAGTAAAAAATGAAAAAGAGATGTAACCACTAACCTCACAGGAATACAAATATCCATCAGATAATACTATAAACACTTCTATGCAGATTAACTGGGAAGTCGAGAATAAATGGATAAATTCCTGAACACATACACCCTCCCCAAGACTGAACCAGGAAGAAGTTGAATCCTTGAATAGACCAACAACATGTTATGAAACTGAGGCAGTAATAAATAGCCTAACAACTAAAAAAAAGCCCAGGAAGAGACAGATTTACAGCTGAATTCTACCAGAAGAACCAAGAGGAGCTGATACCATTTATTCTGAAACTATTCCAAACAACTAAAAAGGAAGGACTCTTCCCTAACTCATTCTGTGTAGCCAGCATGAACCTGATAAAACCTGGTAGAGATACAACAAATTAAGAAAACTTCAGGCGAATATCCCTGATGAACATTGAAACAAAAATCCTCAATAAAATACTGGAAATTGAATCCAGCAGCACATCAAAAGCCTATCCACCACGATCAAGTCGACTTCATCCCTGGAATTAAGGCTCGTTGGAGAAATGGTAATTTCAGGACTTGGGCCGGAAAGCTATAAAATGAGTCTGAAAAACCTCACAAGGGAATAAGAAAGAACTCAAAACATGATAACAATAAAAATAACAATATTTTTAAAATATAATGACAATAAAAAAGCACATATCATAAGAAGAGAATGCATTTAAAGTAATAATCAATCAAATAAGCTTTCATAGCAGTAAACACTTTTATCAATAAGAGATTTTAAATAAAATAAATTCTCATCTAAAAATTAAAAAAAGAAAATCATAGTGATAAAAGCAGAAATCAATGAAGTAGAGAACAGGAAAATATTATAGTTAAATCAAAATCCTGCATTTTCAAATAAACAAAATGGATGAACTAGTAGCTAACCTCATCAAGAAAAAAAGGAAAAAGCACAAATATAAGAAAGGTCAAAAAGAAAATGACAATTGAAACAGAAGATAGTTTTTAAAATGTAAGAGAAAAATGTGTAGCCCCTCTACAAATAAATATAAAAATCTCCATAAAATAATTTTCTACTTAATACAGATTAGCAAAATTTGGTTTCATTAGACCTATAAACTTAAAGAGACCATTTTCCACAGAAGAAATAGTTATTAATATTAAGCAACTACTTCCTTCTAAACAGCAGACACAGAACTTTTCATATGGAATTTCTATCACACTTTCAAAGAACTGATAGCCACTGTGCTTTAGAAAAATTTCGAAGTGTTGAAAATGAAATGAAAACTCCTTAATTCTTGCCATGAAACAGGAAACATTGGCACCTAAACCAAAAAGAAAAATTTAAAAACTCATGCCATTGCTCATGAATATTTTGAGTTTTAGCACAAATACATTAAAATGGCATTGGCAAACAAAATCTAACACCACATTAAAACACACACACACACACACACACACACACAATGACTTAATGAGATATTTTTTCCTCTCAGGAATACAAGCTTAGCTCAATATTAAGATATTGCTTAATGTAATGCAACATATCAATAGATATAAAGCAAAAATCATAGGATTATCTATACCGATGCTAAAACTCCTTTACCATAACTTAACACCTGCTCAAAATAAAGCACTCAAAGATAAGAATTGTGATGTACTCTTTTTATACAGTAAAATACATGTACCTTTGTCCTAAAGCTAGTATCTTGATGTTGAAACACTACAGGATTTTTACTAACATCAGGAACACGGCAAGAGTTGCCACTATCATTACTACTGTTCAAAAATGCACTGGAATTAATATCCAATGCAATTAGACAAAAAAATCATTTGGACACATAGGATGAGTATAGAAATAAGACTTTATGTGCAGAGAATATGATGGTGTACATGAAGAAGTCTAAATAATTTTATTAGTCCGTGTTTCCCAGAAAAACACAAGTAGTAGTATACTATATATATACTATAATTGTGTGAACCAATTCCACTACTATAATCGTGTGAACCATTACTCTACAATTCACAATTATGGAGTCTGAGAAGTCCCATGATCTGCCATTTACAAGCTGGAGGCCCAGGAAATCCAGTGGTGTAGTATAATTCGGTCTGCGCCTGAAGGAACAAACACCAGAGAACCAAGTGAGCCAATGGTGTAAATCTCAGTCTGAGTACTAGAGACAATGAGGCAAAATGTTTCCATTCAAGCAGGCAGTCAGTAAGGGGTGAATTCTTTCTTCTTCTACCTTTTGTTCTCTTCAAGTCCTCAGTAGATTGGACGATACATTCTGGAGATCAATCTACTGAGTCTATGGATTCAAATGCTAGCATCCTCCTGAAACACCCTCAAAGACACATCCCATAATAATGTTTAATCTAGTTACTCTGTAGTAAGTCAAGTTGACACATAAAATTAACCAACACAATAATCAATAATAATACTAAAACCATAAAATAATAAATCAGTAGTACTTAAAATTAATGTACAATTAACATTAAATAGTTTTTATACACACCCCAAAATAGCCAATTAGATGATATAATAGTGGAGAAAACCACATATAAAATAGCAACAAAAAAGATTAATACTTAGGAATAAACAACATGAAATGTAAAAAACTACAGTATATGATAAAAATGTTACAATGCTACTGAAAGATAAAGTAGTTTGAGCAAATGGAAAGGTATCACCTGTAATTGGATTGGATGTCTCAAAATTATGAAGATATTAATTGTGTCTAGATTAATATATAGATTTAATGTAATCCCAATATATATGCCAACAAGCTCTTTAATGGATTTTGAAATGTTGATATTGTTAGGGAGGACTAGCCCTGCCAGGCATTTAAAAAATTCTATATAGTTCAAAGTGTGATAATAACAGATGACA
Organism: Homo sapiens; assembly: GCF_000001405.40. Classification (NCBI taxonomy): domain Eukaryota; kingdom Metazoa; phylum Chordata; class Mammalia; order Primates; family Hominidae; genus Homo; species Homo sapiens. Next base: position 90,671,473 of record NC_000023.11, read on the forward strand.
ATTTGGCAAGTGAAATGAAATAGAAAGCCCACATATACACCCAAGTATATATGGAAATTTAGTGCTTTGCAAATCTCTGAGGCAAATGATGACGTCTTAATAAATGGTGCTAGAATAACTAAGTAGCCATTTGGAAAATGGTAAAAGTTGATTCATACTTCAAACATACACAAGGAAAAACTCCAAAGGGTTAGATCACTAAATATAAAAAATGAAAACCCAGAAGTACTACAAAAAGACATGGGTGAATTCCTCAACAAATGTTGCTGGATTAACAGGTTATACCTACAGACAAAAATGAACTTCAACCTAGGTTTCACAACTTGGACAAATATGAACTCAAAATGGATTTGGTAATTATATGTAAAATGTAAAATTGTAAAACTTTTTAAAAATTAGAAACATTCAAAATCCAGGTCTAGGTAGAGTTTTTAGAGGTAACATCAAGTATAATTACATAGATACATTGAAAGTAAAAATAAAAAAATTAAAAAGAAGACATATCAGGCAAACCTCAATTTTGAAAAAAGCAGAACTGACTATAGTAGTGTAAGACAAAATAGATTTCATGAAAAGAAATGTACTAGGAACAAAGAGGGGCATTATGCAGTGACAGAATTATCGACCCACCAGGAAAATGTAGTAATACTAAATATGTATGTAGCAAACAACTAGAACTTCAAATTCTTGAAGGAAAACCTGATAGTATTAAAAGGAGAAAGAGACAAATCCACAATTATATTTGGGATTTTCAGCACTGAATGTTCCATAATTGATAAATCTACTGAACTGAATATGAGAAAATATTTAGAAGAACTGAGCATCACCGTCAAACAGCAGGATTTAGTTGATGCTCACTGATCAATCCACCCAATAACAGTAAGTTAGACATTATCTTGGATCATAAAGCAAACTTCACCAAATTTAAAATCATAGAAATCATACAGTGACTGATTTCAGAATATAAAGAAATTGAACTCAAAATCAATAATGGAAAGAAAATACAAAAGTTTTCACACACTTGAAATTCAAATAACTTATTTCTAAATAATCCGTAGTTACAAGTCAAACATTAAATGAATAAAATATACATAGAACTGGATGAAAGTTAAAATGCAAAATGTTAAAATATGTGATATGTAGATAACATGCGAGGGAAACTTATAGCTTTAAATGCTTACATTATAAAAGAAGAACACTCAAATCAATAATCTAAGTTTCCACCTGAAGAAACCAGAAAAACAAGCACAAAAATAAATCCAAAGCTAGCAGTAGGAAGGAAATAGTAAAGATAAGAGCAAATATAAATGAAATTGAAAATAGAAAAATAATGAAAAAATGGGAAAAAATACTAGATATGCAAACATAATTAAATCAGTCAGGCACGGTGGCCTACACCTGTAATTTCAGTACTCTGGGAGGCCAAAGCAGATGGGTTGCTTGAGCCCAGGAGTTTGAGACCAGCCTGGGCAACATGGCAAAACATTCTTTCTACCAAAAATACAAAAATTAGCCAGGCATGGTGGCATGCACCTGTAGTCCCAGCTACTCAGGGGGCTGCCAGGCAGGCAAAGGGGGAAGACTCCCTTGAGCCCATGAGGTCAACACTACAATGAGCCATGATCACACCACTGCACTCCAGCCTGGGTGACAGAGTGAGACTCTGAAATAAATAAATAAATAAATAAATAAATAAATAAATAAATAAATTTTAATAAATCTGTAGCAATACCACAAAAGATAAAACAGAAAGAAAACTCAGGTGGGGTGCGGTGGCTCACACCTGTAATCCCAGCACTTTGGGAGGTTGAGGTGCGCAGGTCACTTGAGGTCAGGAGTTCTAGACCAGCCTGACCAATGTGGTGAAGCCCAGTCTCTACTAAACAAACAAAAAATAGCCAGGCGTGGTGGTGGGTGCCTATAATCCCAGCTACTTGGGAGGCTGAGGCAGGAGAATTGTTTGAACCCGGGAGGTGGAGGCAGAGGTGCAGGCAGATGTGGAGGCAGAGGCTGAGGTGGAGGCAGAGGCCGAGGCAGAGGCTGCAGTGAGCCGAGATCGTGCCACTGCACTCTGGGTGACAGAGGGAGACTCCATCAAAAGAAGAGAAAAGAAAGAAAAGAAAATAAAAGAAAACAAAAGAAAAGAAGAAAAGAAAAGAGAGAAAGAGAGAGAAAAAGGAAGGAAGGAAAGAAGGAAGGAAGGAAGGTAGGAAGGAAGGAAGGAAAGAAGGGAGAAAGAAAGAAAAAGAGAGAAAAAAGAAAGAAAGGAAGAAAGGAAGGAAGGAAAGAAGGAAGGAAGGAAGGAGGGAAGGGAGAGACAAGACTGTAATCACCAAATAAGAACGTGACAGTTGATATCATAACAGATCCTACAGTCATTAAAAGAATAAAAAGGGAAAGGTGGATAATAAAGAAGTACTACAAATAAAATTATGCTCATAAATTTATCAACTTTGAAAAAAAGAGACCAATTCCTCAAATGCCACAAAGTAATATAACTCAGCTAAGATAACATATATAACTTGAAGAGCCTTATAACATTTAAATGAGATAAATTTATAATTAAAGATCTCCCAAATAAGAAAGGTTCAGGCACAAATGAATTCACAGAATTTTACCAAACATTTACAGAAGAATCAACATCAGATTTACATAATCTTTTTCAGAAAATAAAAGAGGAAGGAACACTTCTCCCCAGCTCATTTTTGAAGCCAGTTTTACCCTGACAGTACTGTAAGACAAACAGCGTTAAAACATTGAAAACTACAAACGAATATCTCTCATAATCTTAGATGCAAAAATTCACATCAACATTTTAGCAAATAAAATCTGGCGATGTATAAAAGAATATTGTATCACATTGTACAGATAGAGAATAGGTCAGTCATTGCCAAGTATTAAGGATGGTAGATAGGGTGAATTTGGCTAGAAAGGGATACAAGGGAGTTTAATGATGATGGCATAACTCAGTGTGATTATGGCTGTGGCTACATGAAACTGCACATGTGACAAGCTTGTGTAGAATTATACGCTCACATAAACACACAAATGATTGCATGCATCATTGGTGAAATCTGAATGAGCTCTACGAATTGTACCAATGTAAATTTCCTGGTTTTGATATTGTACTATAATTATGAAAGACATTAACTTTGGGATAGATTGGTAATGGGTGCAGGGGACCTCCCTGTACATGTCTTTGAATCTTCTTTTAAATCTATATTTATTTCAAAATAAAAGAATTTAAAGGAGTGGTATGGAATGATTTATATATTATTAAGAAAATAAGCAAAATGCTAAAAAAAATCTACAGTATACTATCCTTGCTGTAAAAATGATGAAGACATGAGAAAGAAATACATGTTTTTGCTTAGGTTTGAAAAAGACATACAGAAGAGATTAACCAAAAGCTAATGAGTTTGGAAACAGAGTTGAATGAGTAGATAATGAGAGCAAGTTATTGGAAAAGATGAAAAGGTTAGTAGGTATGAAGAGTGAGTGGCATTACTCTCAGTGTACCGTTTTTATAGCTGTGATTATTAAAATCATAGTTATGTTTCACATACTGCCCCAAAATTAATATATAATGTTCACCATTTTGGGAGACAATGAAAAATGGATGACAAACAATAACAAACAAACCTACCTATATTAAAATGAATGGCATTATCATGCGGAACATGGTAGAGAAGAAAATAACTATCTTAAATAATTTTGGGAAAGAGGGTTGTAACAATATATTTTAATAATAAAGGCAAAAAGAATTTACATAATTATTGAACTCTACACAGTAAGTGTGTTTATCACAGGATATGGCTTAAAATTATGTTATGTTTAAACTTATAATTGAATAAATATATATACTACGAGTAACAATAGCCAGATTTCTAACTATTGAAAAAAAAGGACTTACAAATAAGGCCAGAGGGAAAGCAAGAATAAACTCTGTATTTTAGACTGGGATCCCAGGTATCAGTATGGTTTTTAACATAGAGTCAGATGCATGCATATCAAAATGATTATAAACGTATTTATTTGTATATCAGTATACATATGTGTACTTACTAGCTCTGTTTGCTTATGGGGCCTAGAAATAATGATGCTCTGGTAGCAATGAGCATACCTAACACTCAAATGTTAATTCTAAATATCATTATCTAACAGGAAAAAAAAGCAAGGCTCCTTGGAGAAATGGTAATTTCAGGACTTGGGCCGGAAACCTATAAAATGAGTCTGGAAAACCTCACAAGAGAATAAGAAAGAACTCAAAAAATGATAAAGCTTATTAAAACAACATAAAAAAGTAATAAAAGCTATAATAATAACATCAGGTTATAACCTATAGAATAAAATAAAATAAATATTCATGAGTCCAAACAGATAGAGATAAAAATGTAATGAATAAATAAATATACGAGGGGGATTGATAAGTCTTCCTGGAGGTAAGAATTCCAATTAGTAACTGTGGAATGAATGATGGAAATAAAACATTATCATTAGAATACCAAAGTCATTGTTGCATACGAGAATCACCAATGGATGCTAAAATCAGTGACAGAAAGTACGGTGAGAAACAGGATATTTGCATAGTCTCAATTATTTTTCTACAATATTTGCATAGACTACAAAGATGAATGACTTTACAGGGTAGAATCCTGGCTGATACCTTTTGCAACAAAATGATTAAAGTGAATATGGCCACTAATAAGGCATATAAAAATCAATGTCCCCTGATTAGATGCACTAAGATGGGTCTATCACCTCTGTAGTGTTCTCGCAAAAGCTATGTTACCTTAATCTAATCCTGAGTAAATGTCAAACAAACCTAAATTGAGAAAATTTCCTTCAAAAAATGACCAGAATTCTTCAAAAATGCCAAGGTTATAAGTGACAAGGAAAAACTGAAGAATTGTCACAGTCCAGAAGAGGCTAAGGAGACGTGGCAACCACTGTGCAATGTGAGATAATGAGTTGGATCCTGAACAGAAGAGGAATATTCATATGAACAATAGTGGAATTTGAATAATGTCTACAGATATGTTAACAGTATTGTATCAATATTATGTTCTGGTTTCTGTAATTGTACCATCATTATATACGATGATTACATTAGGAAAAGCCAGGCGAACGTGTTTGGGAATTCTCTGTACCATTTTGGAAAATTTTCTGTAAGTCCAAAATAATTTTAAAATTTAAAAAGTCTGAAAAAGTCTAAAGACAATTTACATAACGGGAAGAAATTTTGACAAAATATATAACAAACACCATATCCCTATAGAGAGATCATCTTCAACATAAGAAAGAAAAGGCACATTATCTAAAAGATGAGCAAAGGTGGATATAGGCAATTCAGAGCAGAGGAAATGCAAATAGTCAATTAGCATATAACAAGATCCTCAATCTCACTAGTAACAAAGGACTGCAAATCAAAATGATAAAGTGCAATTTTTTATCTAGCAGACTAAATACATATATAAATTAACAAGGCCAGCATTACTGAAGTTATGAGACAGTGGGAAATTTCACTATTTTTGGTGGGATTATTTAATGCCTCATCCACATTGCAGTGACATTTAACAATGCCATTCAATATTTTAAATGTACATACTCTGACCCAGCAATTAGACTTCTGATAAATAATTTTATACAATGTGCTCATTAGTACACATTAGTTGGTTATAGGAAAAACTGGCTATACTTTGTTTTTCCAAATGTCCAGTGTTATAGAACTAGTAACATAATCAGCTGTTAAAAATGAGAAAAATGGGCCGGGCGCGGTGGCTCCTGCCTGTAATCCCAGTACTTTGGAAGGCCGAGGTGGGCGGATCACGAGGTCAGGAGATCAAGACCATCCTGGGTAACACGGTGAAACCCCGTCTCTACTAAAAATAGAAAAAACTAGCTGGGCTTGGTGGTGGGCACCTGTAGTCCCACCTACTCAGGAGGCTGAGGCGTGAATCCGGGAGGCGGAGCTTGCAGTGAGCCGAGAGGGCACCACTGCACTCCAGCCTGGGTGACAGAGTGAGACTCTGTCTCAAAAAAAATACATAAATAAATAAATTAATTAATTAATTAAAATGAGAAAAATGTAAACCCATATATTTGGGCAGTGGATTATATCCATGATATTGCTGGGTAACAAAAACAAGTTTAGAGAATATTTAAAATATAAAACTATTCCTGTAAAAATACTGTGAGTGTATGTGTGTGTGTGCATACACACGTATAAAAGCATACTGGTAGAAACAGGGTCTGCAAGCATGCATATTTAAAAATGTTAACAGTGTTTATTCCGGTGGAGTAGAATTAGAAATGGATGAATTTCTATTTTTTGCTATGTATTTGAAAATTTTGGATTTTCAGCAAGAAGCATGTATTACTTTTGAAACAAAAATAAAAATGTATGTATCTTATACATCTGAATCTTGTTCTTTGAGGCTAACCAAACTGATACACTATTTGATGTAAAATCTGTGACACTGATATTAATAGATCACTATGTTTACCCACTCCAGGATTATATGTATTCTTTTACACAGTGTGACTTGACTATAACATCGGGAGTTTCAGTATACATGAAAAAAAGATTTTAAAAGAAGATATTTTGGGAAATGGTTAAAACTGATTATAAAGGTAGCCATTTACTCTATATTTACAAACTTCTCTGATACGATCTTCGATTCATTTTTTTTTACTTTCCACCTACTTCTGCAATTCTTTCTGCCACTTTTCCTTTCCCAAGCATTGACCAGATAATGAATAAAAACTTGATGTCAATTTACAAAATTTCCCACAAAATTTGATGTGAACTTGAGGTTCATTAATACTAAATGAATACTCAACTTCCAGAACCTTATGGTAATAACAATGAAATCCATTAGCTAATAGATATTGAATGAACTACAGCTTTAATAAGATTATGTATCTGTTTATGAACATGAAACTTTTGTAACTTGAATAATTGTTGCGTTTATGAAATCTCCATGTGTGACTAGGATTGTATTAATAATTGATTTCAAATAATGTGCTACTAACTCTGAAGACTTTTAGATTTTTGCAATTTTTGTTGTTCAGATAAAACATGTTATATTCATTAATGTTACTTTGCAACTTATTTTTACTAACTTTCATATTACACTTTTAAAAGACTATTTTAATAGTAAAGCCACTTATTAGTAGTGTCAACTTTTAGTGGGTAGTGCCTGGAAGGAGATACATGGAGGTCTTATAGGGTTCTAATAATGTTCTGTATCTTTATATAAGTACTTGGTCACACAGATATGTGAAATTTGTGAATATTCATAAACAGAATGCTTATAATTGTACTAAGATAGTAAGTATGCTTTTTATACACTGATATAGAAATATTCCATGAAATTATTATATGACAGAGAAAGATACAGAATAATGTGTATAAAAACTAAACTTACGTAAAGAAATAGAAAGCAACAAAAATACAGTATCAATGATATTATACTTGTATATGCATAAATAAATTCTGGAAGAATACCCCAACCAAATAATACTGATGGCCTCTAGGAGAGTAACTGGATATCTGGTGATTAGGGGTTGGCAAGGAGAACTTTTAGTATGTTCTATTTTTCATCATTTAAAATGTGAATTATGAATTTGTTACCTATTGCAAAATAACTAAAATTTTAAAATAAGAAATATGAAGGCTGAAGAAACAGTAAAATGAAAAGGTACAGGTTTATTTTATTTTGTACTGTTTACCCTTTGTTTGACTTCCCTTTTCCTTCTCTTTCTCCTTATAATCTTTCTCTTCTGTTTGCTCTTCTTTCTCTCTCTCTTATCCTCCACTTCACACAAGTTCTCAATCTTGCTGTTGTTGAAGAAAAGCAGATGTCTGGTCTTTAACATCAGATAAAATGTTGATAAAAACCCTTGCAAGTCGCTATCAAGAAACAGAGAGTGTAACTTTAGACTATTAGAAGGGTGGAGGGCAATTTGCATATATATATATATAGCTTCTCTAAACAACATTGACTAGTGACAACTAGTTTGACAACTGGTTTCACAAGTTCAAGCCAAACTTTTAGACATAATAGCTACAATTTCTGGTAAAAAGCTTCACATGTAAAAGTTGTGTTTTATAACAAAAGCAAAGCTTCAAGATCTTCTAATTCCTTAGCCTAATTGCTCTTGTGTGTATTTAAGCCAAGGGTTTCATCAACAAATTCAATCTCAGGTCTTTAGTTTCAATTAATACTGACCCATAAAGAGTTAATTTTCATGCATGATTTATAATGGTCTTACCATGCAAGCACATAAAAATATTAGTTACATCAAGGACCAACCTCTACTAATAGTCCAGTACTGTATCATGCTTTGCATTTCCAGTATTTTTTGTTTGGTTGAAGTAAGCATCCACACAGAACAGCAATAATACTTGTGCCATTCAGTTATTGATTTTTTTTTTTTAGATAACTTGTGAGTGCTTTCTGCTTTAATATTTTTGATCTGTAAAGTTCCAGAATTATTGTAACCTACTAGCTGATTCATAAGAATTTGTTTGGAAAAAAATTATTATATGTTGTTGAGTGAACATATTTCAATCTTACATTTTTAAAAAAAATACAAAATTCTAAGAAAAACATCCCTTCATATAAATATGAATGAAAAACAGGACAAGAACTCATTAACTGGGTAGTATAAAGGTAGATATGTTCTAAGTAAGTAACATTCTGCTATTTAAAGACAAACATTACCCTGAGTTTTGCTTAAGCTATTTGAGAAGACAAGACCAAAATTCACAAATTGTAGTTTTCTTGTTTGTAGAAAAATGTGGTAGGAAACTTCTTCAGAAGATAAACCTTTGCTATTATCTCTAACATAAAAATATCACTTTTTCCTGGTTTACAATTTTGAGGAAACTTTTTCATTATAGTTTTTACATGTAAATTTATGGATGTCTAATTACTATGTTTTAAAAATAAGAAATGATTAAAGCCCTAAAAACAAATTGTGGTGTTTAAGAAGACTTAAATTAATTACACAATATCATGGACATTATTCTTTGACTTCTACTGGTCCAGATCATATTTAAAAAGATAAATACACAAATATATGTACCCCCTCCAAATGCTTTCGTCAATTGACATTTTGGTGTGGTAAAATACCTCTCACCAATGTAATACACTTTAATAGATTAGTATAAATTTATCAGATTTCAACTCATCAGGTAAAAAATATAGCCTGTTTAAGAAAATCTTAAATATATATATGGTCAAAATACCTGGTCAAATTTGAAACAGTTTTAAAACAATAATACATAAATGTCATTTTTTATTTGTTAGCTATTTTAATAAAAATTTAAAAAAATCTTATATACCATATTCTCATCCACTCTGGTAAATGATTTGTAAATAAAAATTATGTGTAATGATTATTATAATTTTCAGGTAAAGTGAATCAACCATTCTTTGTTTTCTAAGCTTTACTAAATTTGAAATAGGATTTATGTTTGAATAATCTCACTAGGCCATTAAGTTATTTAAAAAAATACACAAAACACTTTGGGAGGCTGAGGCAGGCAGATCACTTGTGCTGAGGAGTTCAAGACCACCCTGGACATCAATAGGAAGACCTTATCTCTACAAAAAATAAAAATAAAAATAAATTAGCTGGGCATAGTGGCATACACCTGTAGTCACAGCTAGTTGGCTACTCGGGAAGCTGAGGTAAGAGGATAGCTTGAGCCCAGGAGGTGGAGGTACAGTGAGCCTAGACGGCACCACTGCACTGCAGCCTAGACGACCGTGGGAGACACTGTCTCAAAAAAGAAGAGGAGTTATTAAAAAAAAAAAGTTGCCATTATAAATATGCTTTTTGTCAATTCTTGTACACTTTGTTCTTTATTATATTGAGGTCTGACTTTTTTCCCTTATTTTTTGTATCTAGTTTATTTTTTCTTGATGGAAAATAACATGATGCAAAAGGTGTTTTAACATGTAAAAGACATTTTAATATAGCAGAATCAACAAGTAGCACCTTAGTGGCCTGAAAAAAAATTGATTCTTGAAGTGTATTACTCTGATAAATTTGAAATAAATATATACATAGGCTGATAATAACATTGGCAGGTTATAATATGTAATTGTTTACATGAAAAATGCAACTGAATGTCACTAATCTGTGTTTAATTATGGACCAATCCAAAACCCTTCCCTGATCCTAGTGGAAAAACTCATAACTATTATATAGGTCTAGAGCTGGCCTCACAAGCATGCAACTTGTTCCCTTATACAGGCACTAGGCTTAAAAGGATTCAGCACTTTAATGCACTTGTTGTCCGGAAATTCTGAATAATTTTTTAACAACAGACTCCACATTTTGCATTTTGTATTGGACCCCCAAACCATGTAATCAATCATTTATATGTCCAAAGGGTCAAAGGCCATAAATCTAGACCAGAATGACTAACTAAGATTACCTACATAGCAAGCTAGGATTACACAAAAATCCAGGATAATCAAGGAAGTTCTAAAAGAAACAAAGAAGGTAAGCTAGGAGAAATGATCAGAAAAAAGAATTTTAGGAATTGTAGGAGCTATCCTTTCTTGAAAATATTAGGGTGAATTTAACCCGAAATGAATTATACTAATATTAATATATGTAAAACTGGAATCAAATTTCTTCTTATGTGTTCCAATTTGAATTGCTGAAATTCATACAGATCTTTAGTCACTCAAATAGAGATGCTTTAATAAGCTATGGAATGTTAAAGAAGTTTCCAGTAACATCAAATTGTTCAGCATATGTTCACACCAATGATCTTTGTGTTTGTGGGTTGTTTCTTTTGGTTGGCAACAAGTTTTGGTATATGGATCATAATAAGTTACAGCCAAGGACTTTCTTCATGTTTGAAATGCATACCTTACAATTTACAGTGGTTTTACTATGAAATGAATCAATTGATAGCTTTAAATTTGCTTTCACAAATATTGGTGGCTTTCTCAACATTGTATTTAACATAGAAAGTTGTCCTTGTATATAAAACCAATAGAATAATTTCCAATCTATGCCATAACTAGTAACATACATTCATATTAGAAATGAACACAATCTACTTAAACTCTGAACCTGAGTGTCCTCAGATGAAAATGATAACAATCTATAACTCACAATGCCTAGAACAGCATGACACTTTTAAATGGTAGGTCTTGCAACTATTTCAAAATTCTATATTATTCTAGATTGTATATGAAAAATTCCCCTTTACCAATTAAAAGTTCATTTCAACCTGAAGGGTTCAAGGTTTTACATCAAATGTAAAGCACTTTGCTTGCACCTTGTATTTATTCTTAAATACAACCCGTTGTATAAAAAATTAAATTTTAAAAAGTGTGGGGAGAAATGGAGCATAAATAATTTTATACATTTGTTTGAAAAGTTGTCTAATGCAATCAGAAATACATAGTGTCATTTTTCAAGCTTCAAAACACATTGAAACCTGGTAAATGCTAATTTGAGAAAATAAAATTTCCAGCCTGAGTTTCAAGTTCCAATTAGAGTTGCAAAACATGAGTTCTGAATGACTGCAAAAGTAGGGCGAATATTAATGTCAAACTTCCATCAGGATTGCTTGCATAGCATAGACTTTTATTTATTTGTAATAGCATACCAAGGAAATCACCTGAGATAGAACACAAGCAAATCTGTTTAAAGACAATGGATTTGCAAGTATATATCTAATGACTAATTTTAGTAAAGTTTTTCTAAGCTTTTCTGAAAAAAATATGAACAAAGCTGTATTAGGAAGCATTAAACTATGTTAAATATTGCAAATAACTTAGGCCAATAAATGTAGAGAAAATATTTTTTATTAATAATAATATGAGTTGAGTGATTTTATTCAAAGCTGTGAAAAAGCTATTTTAATCGGGAAATTTAATACACCCAACATTATTTTATTCCTCTGTTACTAGATTAGTTTTTCCTTCCTTTTTTTCCTCCTTGGATGCAGGAAGAGAGTACGTATGTGTCATTCTAGCCATTAGTGAAAAAAGCATGAAGCCTATATAACCTTTCCATCAGCATTCTTCCCTTCCAAAAGAATTGCCATCACATTTAGCCCAGATTTGCAAAATATGTAGTGATTTGTTTTCAGGCATTGTGGGTAGCTAGTTAACCTCATGTCAGGTTGTTGGAGAACTCTTCCATCCTCTTACACTCATGCACATGTACACATACATAACATGCAAACACACAGGGCAACTTGAAAATGAAATTATTCTATCAACAAATCTTATCTTAAATATGAATTGCTACATCCTCGAAAGAATTTAAGACTTTTATTTAAGGTGTTAAGAATCTTCCCACATACTTCTCCACACATGGGGGAACAGGAAGAAAGTCTTTCTCATTCTGTTCTTCAGTCAGTTTTCTAGCAGGCCCTATTGTCAGTGTCCTTTGCCATACAATGGTTTGGCATGTAGTCGCTGAGGAGGAAATGAAAGATATAGAAAGAAATAACATGGTTAAGAGTTCTGGGACTCTTCGGCAGGGCACGGTGGCTCACGCCTGTAATCCCAGCATTTTGGGAGGCCGAGGCAGGAGGATCACGAGGTCACGAGTTCGAGACCATCCTGGCTAACACGGTGAAACCCCATCTCTACTAAAAATACAAAAAAATTAGCCAGGCGTGGTGGCGGGCACCTGTAGTCCCAACTACTCAGGAGGCTGAGGCAGGAAAACAGCGTGAACCCGGGAGGCGGAGCTTGCAGTGAGCCGAGATGGCGCCACTGCACTCCAGCCTGGGTGACAGAGCGAGGCTCCGTCTCCCAAAAAAAAAAAAAAACAAAAAGAGTTCTGGGACTCTTCATGCTTTCGGAAAGTATTGGGAAAGTTCCCTACTGTCAAAAATGCTAGAGTAATTTTTATTTAGCAATTCATTCACATAAATATTTCAAGAATTTTGTATAAAACTGTTGTGAAATTATCCCCGAGAAAATTAACTCTCCAAATGGGAGGTACACATATGAATGCATAGCCAAGAAATAATGAAGTGTGTGGCTGTCTTTACCAGTTCACAAGTGCACTGAAAACACCAGTGTTATAAAACCCAAAGTTAACAGCTTCAATAGTAGAAAGGCCCAAATCCCACAACATGAATATCAATTTTTTCTTGCTAAATAAGCAAAGTTAATTGTGTAAATATTCATTATATTTTTGAGAGAGTATTGAAGATATTTCCATAGTTTGTAAATCAACAGTGCACATGAGCCTTTTACTAATCCTGTTTCTGATATTAATATAGCCTTGGAAATGATTTTATATTTATTTTTTCATAGAATTTCTTTTTCCACCTTTTTACTATCACCTATTAGTACCATCATGCTTAAATTACAACATATAAACAGAATATATTTAGTTGGGTCTGCTTTTGTATTTAATGTTGTCTGATATTAAACTTTATTTCTGCTTTTCCAAATATATATTAGAAGATAATTTTCATCTGTTTGTTGCATGGTTGGTTAAATTTTTAAACAGAGGAAGACAAAAGAAGCACAATTTCTGTTTCTTAATTTGTTCTATGATTTTTAAAAATAAATATTACTGTGTATATATAAAGTATATGACATTATGTTATGGGATACATATAGATAGTTTTAAAAGGTAACTTTAGTGAGGCAAATGACATTTCAATCATTTCACATAGTTACCCATTATCTTTTTTTTTGTTTTCGTGTCAAGAGCAGATAAAACCTACTCATTTATTATGAATCCCATATACAATACAGTTTTATCACCAGTACTCCTCATGTTGCACATTAGATTTTAAACTTGTTAATCCTACATAATTCCTACTTTGTATCCTCTGGCCCACATCTCCCCATTTCTTCATCTCTGTGTATTTGAATTTGTTTTTAGATTTCACATATTAGTAAGATAATGAAATATTTTTCATTCTGTATCTGGCTTATTTAACTTAGAATACTGTCCTCCAGGCTCATCCATGCTGTGGCAAATGGTAATATTTTGTTCTGTTTAAGTGTAAAATAATATTCCATTGTGTATATGTGATGCAGTTTCTTTATCCATTTATTCATTGATGAACACTTAGGTTTATTCCATACATCAGTTATTGTAAAAAATGCTGCAATAAACATGAGATTGCAGGTGTCTTTATTATGTAATGATTTTGTTTCCTTTGGATATATGCCAAGAAGAGTGATTGCTGGGTATTATGGCTATGTTTAGAAACCTCCATACTGTTTTCCATAATGGCTGTACCAATCTATATTCTCCCCAGCAATGTATGAGAATTCTCTTTTTTCCACACCCTCACCAACATTTGTTGTCTTTTGACATTTTAATAGTAGCCATCCTAATGAGTGTGAAGTGGTATCTCATAGTGATTTTGATTTGCATTTCCCTGATAATTAATGATGTTTAGCACTTTTTAAAATGCCTGTTGGCTATTTTTATGTCTGTTTTGGAAAAATATCTATTCAGGTCTTTTCCCATTCTATAAAATTGTGTGATTTGTTTTTCCACTATTGAGTTTTATGAGTTATATGTAAATTTTGGATATTATTCCTTTATCATATATGTGGATTGCAGATATATTTTTCCCAATCTATAGTTTTCCATGTCATTTTTTGAGTATTTCCTCTGCTATGCAGAAGGTTTTTAGTTTGATATAGTTCCATTTAGAAAAATACAACCTATTAAGATTGAATCAGGGAAAAAGAGAAAACCTGAACAGACCAATAACAAATAAAGATATTGAAGAAGTAATCAAAAAAACTCTTGACAAAGAAAAGCTCAGAACCAAATGGCTTCACAGCTGAATTTTACCAAACATTCAAAGAACATTCAAGCATTCAAAGTATAATAACAATACTTCTTAAATATTCCAAAAAATAGAGCTAGAGAGCATAATTTCAAACAGATTTTAGCAGGCTAATATCACTTTGATATCCTAGCCAGACAAAGACATCACACACACACACACACACACACACTCTTTCTCTCTCTCTCACACACACACACACACACACACACATAAAATTTAGGCCAATTTCTCTGAGAAACATTGATGCAAATATTCTCAATAAAATATTACCAAACCAAATTCAACAACACATCAAAAAAATTGCATACTGTGACCAGGTGGAATTTATTCCTGGTATTCAAGAGTGGTTTAACATATGTAATCAATTCACGGGATATACCACGTTAACAGAATGAAAGACACAAACCACATGATCATCTCAATTGACATGAAAAAAGCATTCAATAAAGTCCACCACTCTATTGTTAAAAACTCTGAACAATTTAAGTATAGAAGAAACTTCTTCAATAAAATAAAAGCCAATTATGAAAACACACAGATAATATTCTAACTAATGGAGAAAAACCTGAAGTCTTCTCCATTATGATTCAGTACAAAGCAAGAATGCCAACTGTCATTACTTCTATTCAACATAATACTGGAAGTACTAGCAAGAACAATCACATGAGAAAAAGACAGAAAAGGCATCAAAACTGAAAAGAAAGAAGCAAAATTATCTCTTTTTGCAGATGGCATAATTTTATATATAAAAAAATGAAAAACAAATCACATAAAAATTCTTAGAACTAATAACAAATGTTACAGTGTTGCAAGATACAAAATCATATAAAAATCAGTAGCATTTTAATAAATACATAATAATCTAACTGAAAAATAAGTCAAGAAAACAATCTCATTTATGATAGCATATGAAAAAAAATACCTAGGAATAAATTCAATCCAAGAGGTAAAAGATCTCTAGATTGAAAACCTCAAAGCACTGATGAAAAAATTCAAGACACAAATAAATGGAAATATATCCCATGTTCATGCACTGGAAGAATTAGCATTTTTAAAATGTCTACATTACTCAAAACTATATGCAGAAACAATGCAATACCTACTAAAATCCCACTGACATCCTGTTTTACTTCATTCTCACACTGCTATAAAGAAATACCTACAACTGCATAATTTATAAAGAAAAGAAGTTTAATTGCCTCATGGTTCTACAGGCTGTACAGGAAGCATAGCAGCTTCTGCTTCTGGGGATGCCTCAGGAAACTTACAATTATGGGGGAAGGTGAAAGGGAAGCAGGTACATTTTACATGGCCTGAGCAGGAGAAAGAGAGAGAGAAGTGGGAGGTACTACACACTTTTAAACAACCAGATATCATGATAACTCACTCACTCACTATCACGAGAACAGCACTGATGGAATGGTTCTAACCCATTTATGAGAACTCTACCCCCATAATCCAATCACTCCCCCCAAACCCCACTTCCAACATCGGTGATTATGATTCAACATGAGATGTGGGTGGGAACAAAGATCCAAACTATATCAATCCACCCCCGGCCCCTCCCAAATTTTATGTCCCTCTCACATTTCAAAATACAGTAATGCCTTCCCAACAGTCCACCAAAGTCTTACCTCATTCCAGCATTAACTCCGAAGTCCAAAATCAAAGGTCTCATCTGAGACAAGGCAAGTCTCTTCTACCCATAAGCCTGTAAAGTAGAAAAAAGTTAGTTACTTTCAAGATACAATGGGATAAATACTTTCAATCTAAATGACAGACATTTCTTGGCCAGTAGAAAGAAGCTACAGGCCCCATGCAAGTCTGAAAACCAGCAGAGCAGTCATTAAACTTTACAGCTCCAAAATAATATCTTTTTATTTCATGTCCCACTTCCAGGGCACACAGATGCAATGGTTGGGTTTCCAAGTCCTTGGTCAGTTCTGACCCTGTGGCTTTGAAGGGATCAGCACCCTCAGCAGCTCTCATGGTCTGGATTGAGTGCATTTAGATTTTCCAAGCACAATGTTCAGTCTTCCAGTGGATCTACAATACCAGGTTCTGGAAGATGGTGGCCCTCTTCTCAGAGCTCCACTATTCAGTGCCCCAGTGGTGGCTCCATGTGGAGGCTCCATCTCCACATTTCCTTTCCACACTGCCCTAGTAGAGGTTTTCCATAAAGGGTCTTCCCCTGCAGACCAGGACAACCAGGCTTTTCCATACATCCTCTGAAATCTAGGCAGAGGCCCTCAACATTCAACTCTTGCACTTTGCTCACCTGCAGGCTTAACTCCATGTGGAAGCTGCCAAAGCTTATGGCTTGCACCCTCTGAAGCAACAGTTCAAGCTGTACCTGGGCCCTGTTGAGCCATGGCTGGAGATAGAGTGGCTGGGACGCAGGAAGCAGTGTCCCAAGGATATGCGGTGTGGTGGGGTCCTGGTCTTGGCTCACAAAAACATTCTTCTCTGCTAGGTCTCTGGGCCTGTGATGGGAGAGGCTACCGGGAAAGTCTCTGAAATGTTTTTGAGGCCTCCTCATTGTCTTGGTTATTAACATTTGGATTCTTTTTACTTATGCAAATTTTTACAGCCTGCTTGAATTCCTTCCCTAAAAAAATGGGCTTTTCTTTTCTACCAGATGGCCAGGCTGCACATCTTCTAAACTTTAATGCTCTACTTCCCTTTTAAATGTTAGTTCGAGTTTTAGGTCTTTGCTTTCCTCACACATATGAACATAGGTTGTTAGAGGCAGCCAGGCCACATCTTGAACACTGCGATGCTTAGAAACTCCTTCCTCCAGATAAACCTAAATCATTACTCTCAAGCACAAAGTTCCACAGATCCCTAGAGCGGAGCCACAATGCTGCCAGGTTATTTGGTAACACATAACAAAAGTTACCTTTGTTTTTATTCCCAATATCTTCTTCATCTCCATCTGAGACTTCATCACCTTGGACTTTATTGTCCATATCTTTATCAGCATTTTGGTTGCAACCACTTAACCAGTCTCTAGGGAGTTTTAAATTTTCTCTCATCCTCCTATCTTCTTCTGAGCTCTCCCAGCTCTCACAACCTCTGCTCATTACCTAGTTCCAAAGCTCCTTCCACATTTTCAGTTATCTTTGTAGCAATGCCCCAATTCTTGGTACCAATTTTTAGTATTAGTTTTTTCTCACACTGCAATAAAGAAATACCTGAAGCTGGATAATTTATAAACAAAAGAGTTTAATTGGCTCACAGTTCTGCAGGCTGTACAGGATGCATAGTGGCTTCTGGTACTGAGAAGGTCTCAGAAACTTACAATCATGGCAGAAGGTGAAGGGGAAGCAGGCATGTCTTACATGGCCAGAGTAGGAGGAAGAGAGATAGATGGGGATGGTGCTACACATTTTTAAACAACCAGATCTCATGATAATTCACTCACTCACTATTATGAGAACAGCACTGAGGGGCTGAAGCTAACCCATTAATGAAAACTTTGCTCTCATTACCCAATTACCTTCCACTAGGCCCCACCTCCAACATTGGGGTTTACAATTTGACATGAGATTTGGGTTGGAACACAGATCCAAACCATATTATATTATTTACAGAAAAAAAATAAAATTTCTAAAATTTGTTGAGAACTGTGATAGACTCCAAATATGCAAGACAATTTCAAGAAAGAAAAAAAAATTGAGAGCATCACAATTCCTAATTTAATATAACATTCCAAAGCTATAGTAATCAAAACAGTGTAGTACTTGCATAAGAACAGACACAGACTAATGGAACAGAATAGAGAGCCTGGAAATAAAATATACACAGTCAATTAATTTTTGAAAAAGGCACCAAGAGGATGCAATGAGGAAAGAATAGTCTCTTCAATAGATGGTACTAGGAAAAATGGATTTTCAAACTCCAAAGAATGAAATTGAACCCTTGTAACATACACAAAAATCTACTAAAAATGACACAAATATAAGAAACTATAAAACTCCTAGAAGAGAACATAGAGAAACAGCTCCTGTACATTGGCCCTTGGTAATGATTTTCTATTTATTACAGAACAATCTCAGGCCACAAAAGCAAAAACTGTACCGTTAGTTTTAATGCTGAAGTCTTACATAATGATTAAACATGCAACCTTCAGAGTCAGACTAAAGTAAGTTTAAATAGCCACACTATGCTTTGGTTTTCCTGTATGTAAAATGGGAAGAATAGCAGTATTTCCTCATAAAATTGTGATCAGAAGCAAATAAAATAATTCATGTTTAGTCTACAGAACAGTTACTAACACATAATAAAACAAAAGCTTTTCTTAATTTTCTAAAAATTAATCCATTTTTGAATATTTCACCAAGATAATTGATAACTAAATTTATACCTATTATAATACTTCTATTAGTACATTTCACTTTCTCTCTGTCAGGCCTCTGAGACCAAGCCAAGCCATCGCATCCCCTGTGACTTGCACGTATACATCCAAATGGCCTGAAGTAACTGAAGATCCACAAAAGAAGTAAAAATAGCCTTAACTGATGACATTCCACCATTGTGATTTGTTTCTGCCCCACCCTAACTGATCAATGTACTTTGTAATCTCCCCCACCCTTAAGAAGATTCTTTGTAATTCTCCCCACCCTTGGGAATGTACTTTGTGAGATCCACCCCTACCCGCAAAACATTGCTCTTAACTTTATCGCCTATCCCAAAACCTATAAGAACTAATGATAATCCACCACCCTTTGCTGACTCTCTTTTCGGACTCAGCCCGCCTGCACCCAGGTGAAATAAACAGCCATGTTGCTCACACAAAGCCTGTTTGGTGGTCTCTTCACACGGACGCGCATGAAACTCACTGAATAAAATGTTTTGAGAAAAATACTTAGTTTTCATGCCTATATAACTATCTTTTGCTTTGCCACAGTATCATACACAAAAAGGTACTCCATGAGTGCTTATTAAATGTATAAAAGTCAGAATGAAGTAGTGTACATTTGTGGATATTAATTATCTTCACTGCATTTTACCTTGATTATAATTTTTATTCTAAGGCTTCATACTTTATGTGTTTTTAATTGCATTAAAAATTGAGCAAAGGACATTAACAGACACATTTCAAAAGAAAACATACAAACGGCCAACAAGCATATGAAAAAATGCTCAACATCACTAATTATTAGAGAAATGCTAATCAAAATCAAAATGAGATACCATCTCACATCACCCAGCATGGCTATTATTAAAAAGTCAAAAAATAATAGATGCTGGTGAGGTTGCAGAGAAAAAGGAATGCTTACACACTGCTGGTAGGAATGTAAATTGGTATAGTCATTTAGAAAAGCAGTTTGGCCATTTTACAAAAAACTTAAAACATAATTAACATTCAACCCAGTATTTCCATTATTAGATATACCCAAAGAAATATAAATTCTTCCAACATAAAGACACATGCATGCATGTGTTCATCACAGCACTATTTACAATAGCAAAGACAGGGAATCAACCTATATGCCCATCAGTGGGAGACTGGATAAAGAAAATGTGGTTTATATATACCATGGAATACTATGCAGCCATTAAAAAGAATGAGAACATGTCTTTTGCAGCAACATGGATGGAGCTGGAGGCCATTATCCTAAGCAAACTAACATAGGAACAGAAAAGTAAATACTGCATTTTCTCACTTATAAGTAGGAGCTAAACATTGAGTATGTTAGGGACAAACTGCCCTAAGAAAGCTTCTTGGTGCTGCCCACCCCTCCACCTAACGCTCTGCAACTCTTCTCCGTGCCGCCCACCCTTCCCCCAAGCTTCTTTACATTTCTCAGCCCTTAAGCGGTGAAACCAGCAGACTTCACTTATCAGACCTTGCTGCGATAAGCAAACCCCAATTACAAACCATTCCTACAGCACAGGGGGAGGTCGTGGAAAGCATAAACAAACTTTACCTACACCTCCTTGTAAGTTCCTGTTCTTCATCTAGCTGCTACCATAAACGTCACAAGGTGATATGTGACAAAATTAACCAGCAAACAACCCCGGGATGCGGCCATACCAAAGAACTCCCTCAAACGACCCTCCCCAATGTAAACCCCTCATTCTGTAAGCTTGGGGCTTCTTCCTCTCTGACTGTTAAGGGGGCAGCCGGCAGGTTAATAAAAACTTGCTTGCCTGACTTCGGGTCTATTTTTAGTTTCTCTCGGCTAACCTTACAGAGGCATATGGACACAAAGAAGGGAAAAACAGACATTGGGGCCTACTTGAGGGTGGAGGGTGATAGGAGGGTGAGGATTGAAAAACTACCTATTGGGTACTAGCTTATTACCTGGGTAATGAAATAATCTGTACACCAGACCTCTGTGACACAAAATGTACCTATATAACAAACCAAAATAAAATTAAATAAGTGTAATAAATAAATGAAATAAAAGTTAAATAAGTACAAGTTAAAACAATAAAGAAAATCAAGGACTTAGTAGAAAAGAAAATAGACGTGCTTTTTGAGTGACAAATAGATACCTCTGTCACAAACCTGGAGTTAAGGGTAGATAGGAAAGAAAGAGAAAAACATAAAGATAAGTTTCTTTATTTTATCTCAAGAGTAATGGATCTGGAAATACCAAATATTATATTTTTCAATGTGACTTTATAAGCAATTTCTAAAACTTAAAAAAGAATCCCCTCCTCTATTCAAGATCCAGTTTGGGTAGTATCTACAGCTGAGTTTCTGCAAATGTAGTCCCTGGATCCCTGGAGAAGCTAAGGACTTTTAAGTGTCTGTGAAGTCAATGTTGCTCTCACAATAATACGAAGTTGTTATTTCTCTTTTCTATTGTATCAACATCTGCACTACTCAAGTTTGTTTTTGTATTGGCTGGTAATTGTTTTCCTTTCCATAATTAGTGCTCCTTTCAATATATCTTGTATAGTGGGTCTGGTGGTAACAAACAAGGTCAGCATTTGCTTGTCATAAAAGTATCTTATATCTCCTTCACTCAGAAAGCTTTGTTTGGCTGGATATGAAATTCTTGGTTGAAAATTTTTTTCTATAAGCATGTTGAATATAGGCTCCCACTCTCTTCTGGCTTGTAAGGTTTCTGCTGAGAGGTCTGCTGTTAGCCTGATGTGATTCCCTTCATTGGAGACCTGCCCTTTCTCCCTAGCTTCCCCTAATATTTTTTCTTTCATTTCAACATTTGAACATCTAATGGTTATGTGTCTTAGGGATGATCTTCTTGTGTAGAATCTTGCAGAGGTTCTCTGTATTTTCTGAATTTAATTGTCAGCCTCTCTATTGAGGTTGGGGAAGTTTTCATGGATGATGCCCTGAAATACATTTACCAAGTTGTTGGCTTTCTCCCTTTTACTTTCAGGAATGTCAATGATTTGTAGATTTGGCCTATTTACATAATCCCATATTTCTTGGAGGTTTTATTCATTCCTTTTCATTTTTTTCTTTATTTTTGTCTTACTGCCTTATTTCAGACAGCTACTCTTCAAGTTCTAAGACTCTTTCCTCAGCTCAGTCTATTCTGCTGTTAATACCTGTCATTGCATTGTGAAATTCTTGCAGTGTGTTTTTCAGCTCCATCAGATGAGTTAGTTTATTTTTTATGCTGGCTATGTCATCTATCAGCACCTGTATTATTTTATTGTGATTCTTAGTTTCCTTGAATTGGGTTGTGTCATTCTCCTGAATCTCAATGATCTTCATTTCTATTCATATTCTGAATTCTACTTCTGTCATTTCATCCAATTCAGCCTGGTTAAAAAGACCAGTGTATTAGTCAGGGTTTGTTAGAGTGATAGAATTAATAGGATAGATTTATATATAAAGGGGAGTTTATATCACAGGGCATGGTAATAAGAAGAGACACTCTAATGAATCTCCTGTACTCCATGCATAATCTTTCTTACCTCTGTTGCAGAGTAGTAGACTGATAGAACCTTGATAGTCTGAGTCAATCATCCCAGCCAACACTGTACCTCCCTTCTTAGGCTGTTGGTGTAAAGGTAGGAGAAGTGCAAAGTGTCCAGGTGGCAATCTTAATTTCCAGTTTAATTGAATCATTGCTATGTCTCCTGGTGGCAGCATTCCTCCCTCTGAAACTAAGACCTCTAGGCCAGCAGAACATAATGTCACAGGAACAGGAAGCAAATATGTTGTTAGTGGGTCACTAGGGGTGATGGTGAGTGTTGCCACTTCCAATTCCACCCCTTGATTCCTGGACCCATGATTCCTGGCTATGGGAGAAACAGTACCATATATTGGATGCGGATTCAGAGCAAACACAGCCTTCTGGAGAACCTTGTCCCAGCCATGCAAAGTATTATAACCTAATTGGCATTTTAGTTGTGACTTCAAAAGGCCATTCCATCATTCTATCCATCCAGCTGCTTCAGGATGATGGGGAACATGGTAAGACCAGTGAATTCCATGAGCATGAGCCCGCTGCCACATGTTTTTAGATGTAAAGTGAGTGCCTTGGTCAGAGACAATGCTGTGTGGAATACCATGATGGTGGATAAGGCATTCCATGAGTCCACAGATGGTAGTCTTGGCAGAAGTATTGTGTGTAGGATAGACAAACCTACATCCAGAATAAGTGTATATTCCAGTGAGGACAAACCTCTCTGCCCTTTCCATAATGGAAGAGGCCCAGTATAATCAACCTGCCACCAGATAACTGGCTGAACACCCTGAGGACTAGGGCCATATTGAGGGCTCAGTGTTGGTCTCTGCTGCGGCAAATTGGGTGTGGACATAGCCAGGTCAGCCTGGGTGACTGGAAATCCATGTTGCTCAGCTCATGCATAACCTCCATCCCTGCCGCAATGGCTACTTTGTTCATCGGCCCGTTGAGTGATGACGATGACAGGAGAAGCTGGAAAAAGAGGCTGAGTAGTGTCTACAGAACAGGTCATCCTATCCACTTGATTATTAAAATCTCTTCTGCTAAGGTCACGCATTGGTGAGCACTCACATGGGATACAAATATCATCCCCTTTTTTTTGGCCACTCAGAAAAGTCTATCCACATACCTCTTCCCCAAATTTCTTTGTCACCAATTATGCAATCATGTTTCTTCCAAGTCCCTGATCATCCAGCCAAGCCATTGGCTACAGCCCATGAAACAGTATATAATTGCACATCTAGTTATTTTTCCTTCCATAAAAAGTGCACAACCAGGTGCACTACTCGAAGTTCTGCCCACTGGGAAGATTTCCCTTCACCACTTTCTTTCAGGGATGTCCTGAAAGGGACTGTAGTGCTGCAGCTGTGCACTTGTGGGTGGTACCTGCATATCATGCAGAACCATCTGTGAACCAGGCCTTAGATTTCTCTCTCTCTCTGTCAAGTGATCATAGGAAACTCTCCATGAGGCCATTGGTGCAGGCTGAGGGAAAGAAGGCAGGGTGGCAGGAATGGAAATAATGAGCATTTGAGCCACTTCCTCGTGTAACTTACTTGTGCCTTAAGGACCTGCTCAAGCCCGATCACGTATATACTACTTCCATTTGATGATGGAATGCTGCTATGCATGAACGACTCTATGGCAAGATGGGTCAGAAAGCACCCAGGTCATGATAGGCAGTTCAGGCTGCATGGTGACTTGACTCATAGTCAAACATTCAGTTTCCACCAAAGCCCAGTAACAGGCCAAGAGTTGTCTCTCAAAAGGAGAGTAGTTATCTGAAGAAGATGGCAGGGCCTTGCTTCAAAATCCTACAGGCCTCTGCTGTGATTCACCTATGGGGACCTGCCAAAGGCTCCAAACAGCATCCCTATTTGCCACTGAGACCTCAAGCACCATTGAGTCTGCTGGGTCATATGGCCCAAGTGGCAGAGCAGCTTGCACAGAAGCCTGGACCTGTTGCTGAGCCTTCTTCTAGTTCTGGACCCCACTGAAATCTGGCACCCTTTCAGGTAACTCAATAAATGGGCTGGAGTAACACACACCCAAATGAGGAATGTGTTGCCTCCAAAATCCAAATAGGCCCACTAAGCATTGTGCCTCTTTCTTGGTTGTAGGAGGGGCCAAATGCAGCAACTTATCCTTCACCTTGGAAGGAATATCTTGACAGGCCCCACACCACTGGACCCTTAGAAATTTTATCGAGGTAGAAGATACCTGAATTTTAGTCAGGCTTATTACCCATCCGCTGGCATGCAAATGTCTCACCAATAAGTCCAGTATGTTTGCTACTTCTTGCTCACTGGATCCAATCAGTGTAATGTCATCAATGTAATGAACGAGTGTGATACCTTGTGGAAGGGAAAATCAATTAAGGTCACTCCAAACAAGATTATGACACAAAGCCAGAGAGTTGATATACTCCTGAGGTAGGACAGTAAAGTTATATTGCTGGCCTTGCCAGCTGAAGACAGATTGCTTCTGGTGGGCCTTATGGACAAGAATGGACACGAGGACGTTAGTCAAGCCAATGACTTCATACCAGGTACCAGGAGATGTGTTAATTTGTGCAAGCAATGAAACCACATCTTCTACAGCAGATGCAATTGAAGTCACCATTTAGTTAAGTGTACAATAATCCACTGTCATTCTCCAAGATCCAACTGTCTTCTACACAGACAGAATGGAAGAGTTGAAAGGGTATGTGGTGGGAATAACCACCCCTGCATCTTTCAAGTCCTTGATTGCAGCACTAATCTCCGCAATCCCTCCAGGGATGCAATATTGTTTTTTATTTACTTTTTTTTAAGGAAGTGGCAGCTCTAATGGCTTCCATTTGGCCTTTTCCACCATAATAGCCCTCATCCTACCAACCAGGCAGCAAATGTGGAGGGTTCTGCCAGCTGCTAAGTATGTCTATGCCAATTATGTATTCTGGCACTAGGGAAATGACTATAGTATGAGTCCAAGGATCCAATGGACCCACTGTAAGTCAAACCTGAGCTAAACCTCCACTAATTACCTGACCTCCATCAGCCCCTACTTTAACTGGAGAACCGCAATGCTGTTTTGTGTCCCTTAAAATCAATGGCAGTTCAGAGCCAGTGTCCAGTAGTCCCCAAAATGTCTGATTATTTCCCTTTCCCCATACACAGTGACTGACCCTGGTAAAAGGCCAGAGGTCTCCTTGGGGAAGGATGGGAGAAAGATTAATAGCATAAATTGTTGGTAGTGTAGTGAGTTCCTCCCTCAACAAGGGGACCTGGCCTCTCTTCCATTCAAGGGATTCTGGGTCTGTAAACTGACTCACCTGAAAATTGATTGAGGGGCTGTGACTCTCAGCTTTTATAATTCAAATTAGTATTTTGTCCACTTGACCTGGAAGTTTCCTGCTTACATAAATTAAGTAGGGATGCAATCGTCTTCCTATGAATTTCACTTCTACAGAAACTGTGATTAATTAGACAATGCCAGAGCTCTATACGAGTCAAACTATTCTGATTTCTGCTTTTCCCCTGCTGTCTATGATGGTGGCTATGCCCATCTGGCCTTTGATGGTTGAGCGTCCCCACTTGTCCCCTGCCACCTTAGTATCCAATTATTCCCATTGCATTTAAATTTTGTAGTTAAGTGACTGTGGTTCCCACTGTTAGATCTGTCATACAGAGAAGAGCAATTCATACAGAGCTCTTCAAAGATGCAGGTGCTGCCTTCACAAATCCATTTCACAAAGCATTGTTCAAGGATATATCTTCTGGACCCTCCCAGCTGGGATGAGTAGGTCTAAAGTGACTAATCCACTCCTCCATCCCAATTTCTACAAGCCTTTTGATCCCTTCCTCTACATTAAACCAAGGGAGAAAATCAGGCATTTCCAGCTCGCTCACAGTGGACCATCTTTTAATTTATAATTCAGCTAACAAAGCAAATAAACTATTAGAATATTTTTTAACTCCCTGAGGTGCAACATTAAATGCAGAATCCCTACCTAGTGGGCCCAAATCAAAAAAGTCAGCCTGATTCAACTCTATGTTCCTTCCACCATTATCCCACACCCTTAATATCCATTCTCATGCCTGTTATCTAGATTCCTGCTTATACAAATTAGAAAACTCAAGCTGTTCTTTTCAAGTGTAGTGTACCTCCTCGTGGGTCACACTCTGACCTCACCTCTATGGGCCCACTGGGACTTCAATCTAGTTATAGGTCTAGAAGCACACAAGGGTGTTCGGGGTGGGTATTGAGGAGAATCAACATTATCTTGCCTCACAGCTGCCTCAGGAGAGGCCATCACTGTTGCCTCAGTTAGTGCAGGGTTTATCTCCTCAGACAAAGGTGGAAAGGCTGATGGCAGCATGGGTCTTGGAGGGGATCTTGCCACTACTGGGGATGGGGAAGCTGTTTCTTCTGGCAAAAAGATTCATCGGAGTTTACAAGCTCAGTGTCCCCAGCTTCATCAGGGTCCTCCCATACATCACCTTTCCAAGCTGCGGGGTCCCATTTTTTACAAATCAATGTCCTCATTTTAACAGTAGACACCAGGCAAGGCTGTGCATGCACATTTTGTTGCAGGTGAGCCACTTGCATTTTAAGAACCTGTGTCAGATTTTCTACAATTTCAGCTCTTTCTCTACATGAGATAAGACTCTTGCTCAGGGCACTCTTAGAAGATTTGAGGCTCAGTATCTACTTCTGAAGATGGGAGTTAGAATCCCTGAGTTCAACATCTTTTTTTCATCACTTTATCCAGTGGACTTAGGAGCAACCAACCAACTTTATTATGTTCTTTGGTTCTCCACATATGGTCAAAAGTATTATGTATAGGGTCATTAAACTCCTTGCCTCTCACAAGTGGTGAATCTGGAGTGTCTAATGTATTTATTTTGCATAATTCTCTAAACAGTTCATGCCAAGGACTATCAGTGTTCTCCATACTATTAAAAGTAGAGTCCTTAGCATTTTGAAGTCTAATCACATTAAGCAGCCAACTCCAGAAACCCCAAAACCAATGAAAGAACTCCATCCTTAATATTCTGTTCCTCTAGAACCACTCCTGGTACCAATATCTGTATTAGTCAGGGTTCTCTAGAGGGACAGAACCAATATAATAGATGTATACACAAAGGGGAGTTTATTAATGAGTATTAACTCACATGATCACAGTGTCCCACAATAGGCCATCTGCAAGCTGAGGAGCAAGGAAGCCAGTACATTTTCCAAAGCTAAAGTACTTGGAGTCTGATGTTCAAGGACAGGAAGCATGCAGCATGGGAGAAAGATGTAGGTTGGGAGGCTAAGGTATTCTAGTCTTTTCATGTTCTTCTGCCTGCTTTTTAGTCTGGCCCTGCTGGCAGCTGATTAGATTATGCCCACCTAGATTAAAGGTGGGTCTGCCTTTCCCAGTCCACTAACTCAAATGTTAATCTCCTTTGGCAACACCATCACAAAGACACCCAGGAGCAACACTTTGCATCTTTTAATTCAATCAAGTTCATACTCAGTTATCCATCACAACCAGTGATAACTGTAAAGCAACCACACAGACAAGCCTGCACAATAACCAGCTAACATCATGATGGCAGGATCAAAACCACACATATTAATGGTAACCTTGAGTGTTAATGGGCTAACTACCCCATTTAAAAGGCATAGAGTTGCAAACTGAATAAAATGTAAGACTGAAAGCTATGCTGTCTTTAAGAGATCCATTTCACATTCAATGACACTCATAGTTTCAAAATAAAGGGATGGAGGAAAATCTATGAAGCAAATGGAAAACAGAAAAAAGCAGGGGTTGCAATTCTAATTTCAGACAAAGCAGACTTTAAACCAACAAAGATTTAAAAAAAGACAAAAGAAAACATTACATTATAGTATAGGGTTCAATTCAACAAAAGACCTAACTATCCAAAATATATATGTACCCAACATAGGAGCACCCAGATTCATAACGCAAATTCTTAGAGACCAACACAGAGATTTAGACTTCCGTACAATAGCAGTGAGAGACTTCAACACTCCACTGACAGTATTAGACAGCTCATCAAGGCAGAAAATTACGAAGATATTGTATTAGTCAGGGTTCTTCAGGGGGACAGAACTAATAGGATATATGTATATAGTAAAGGGAATTTATTAAGGAGACTTTACTCACACAATCACAAGGTGAAGTCTCACCATAGGCCACCTGCAAGCTGAGGAGCAAAAAAGCCAGTAGTGGCTTAGTCCAAGTCTGAAAGCCTCAAAAGCAGGAAAACCAACAGTGCAGACTTCAGTCTGTGGCCAAAGGCTTGAGAACCCTTGGCAAACCACTAGTGCAAGTCCAAGAGTCCAAAAACTGAAAAACCTGGAGTCTGATGTTTGAATGCAGGAACTATCCAGCACAGGAGAAAGCTGGAAGACTCAGCAAACCAGCTTATTCCACCTTCTTCTGCCTCCTTTTTCTAGCCATACTGGCAGCCTACTGGATGGTGCCCACCCAGATTGAGGGTGGTCTTCCTCTCCCAGTCCACTGACTCAAATGTTAATCTCTTTTGGCAACACCCTCACAGACACACCCAGAAACAATAGTTTGCATCTATCAATACAGTAAAGTTGACACTTAATATTAATCATCACAGATATTCAGGACCTTAACTCAGCACTGGATCAATTCGATCTGAAAGACATATACAGAACTCTGTAGTTAAAAAGCGATAGAATGTACATTCTTCTTACCACCACATGACACGTACTCTAAAATTAACCACATAATCAGACATAAAACAATCTTCAGCAAATACAAAATCACTGAAATCATACCGAATACACTCTTGGACTGCAGCACAATAAAAATAGAGAGATGAAGACAAAAAAAAAATCACTTGAAATCATGCAATTACATGGAAATACAAAAAAAAAAAAAACCTCCTTCTGAATGACTTTTGGGTAAATAAGGAAATTAAGGCAGAAATCAAGAAGTTCTTTGAAACCAATGAGAACAATGATAAAACAAACCTGAATCTCTGTGACACAGCTAAGTTAGTGTTAAGAGGAAAATTTATAACACTAAATGCCCACATAAAAATGTTAAAAAGATCTCAAGCTAACATCACAACTAAAAGAACTAGAGAAGCAACAAGAAACAAACTCCAAAACTAGCAGAAGACAATAAATAAGCAGATTCAGAGCTGAACTGAAGAAAATTGAGACATGAAAAACCAATAAAAAGATCAACAAATCCAGGAGTTGATTTTTTGGAAAAAAATTAATAAGATAGGCCACTAACTAGACTATTAACAAGAAAAGAGAGAACATCCAAATAAATAGAATTAGAAATGACCAAGGGAATGTTACGACTTACTCCACTGAAATATTATACAAATAACCATCAGAGACTACTATAAACACCTCTATGTACACAAACTACAAAACCTAGATGAGATGGACAGATTCTTGGACACATACACTGTCTCAAGACTGACCCAGGAAGAATTTGATTCCCTGAACAGGCCAATAATGAGCGCCAAAATTGAATCAGTAATAAATAACTTACCAATCAAAAAAAAAAAAAAAAAAAGGACTAAATGGATTCACAGCCAATTTCTTACAGATGTACAAAGAACAGCTGGTACTATTCCTACTGAAAATATGCCAAAAAACTGAGGAGAAGAGACTCTTTCCTAACTCATTCATGAGGCCAGCATCATGCTGATACTAAAACCTGGAGGAGACTCAACAAAAAAATAAAACTTTAGGCAAATATTCTTGATGAACAAAGACGCAAAAATTCTCAACAAAATACTAGCAACATGGATCCAGCAGCACACCAAAAAGCTAGTCCACCACAATCGAGTAGGCTTTATTACTGAGATGCAAAGTTGGTTCAACACATACAAATCAATAAATGTGATTCATCTTATAAACAGAACTAAAACAAAAACCACATAATAATCTCAATACATGCAGAAAATACTTTTGATAAAATTCAACATATTTTCATGTTAAAAACTCTCAACAAACTAGGTATTGAAGGAACATACCTTAAAGTAATAAGATACATATATGGCAAACCCACAGCCAACATTTTCCTGAATAGACAAATCCTAGAAGCATTCCCCTTGAAAACTGGCACAAGACAAAGATCCTCACTCTCACTACTCTTATGGAACATAGTACTGCAAGTCATGGACAGTGCAATCAGGCAAGAGAAAGATATAAAGACACCTAATTAGGAAGTCAAACTATCCCTGTTTTCAGATGATATCGCTCTATATCTAGAAAACCCCATAGTCTCTGCCCTTAAGCTCCTTGATATAATAAACAACTACATGAGTAATAGACGTACAAGATTTTAACAGGTATATTTTCTTGTCTTTAGTTAATGAAGTAGCATCTTTAAGTTGTTATAAGAACATAATCTCATTTATTTTTACTAAACAACTCATAATTTTCAAACCTGGAGAAATGCCTTAATTTGTGGAGACAGCTTTAAAAAGTTGCAGCCCTGAGCATTTCCCCCTATATTGAACTTGACACCTCGCTATGTAACCTAAGTTTTTCCATCATAAAGTATCAAATAATCTATTATTTTCTTCCCTATGGACATGAAAATTGATAAATTTAATCCACATCTACTTCACAAAGTAAATGCCAGAGGAGAATGTAAGCCATATAGAAAATAAAATGTTCTAATGTTCATTTTGCTAGATGTTAGAATAGTGAATATACCCATGTACTATCTATGATTCCACCATTTGGAAAAATATTCAGCAATTTTGATGTCTTAGATGAGATTCATTAAAAACAAGCCTGTGTACTAATGCTTTATTCGGGTGCGGCTTGGAATGGGAATATTAATCATGCAATTTCAGGGCATCCAGAGTAAGGAAAAGACAGATGACACAAAATAAAATGAGTGTGAAAAAGTCACCAATGGCTTAATGAGGAAACAGCTTTTTGCTTGATCACACGGGATATCTGAAAATGCCATGGTGAATCATCATGCGTTAAAAGTTTATCTGTAAGAGAAAAGCAGAGCCATAGATCGTTAATTCTTCCTCTTTTCTGTGTTTTGACTCACTGCCCTTCTAGTCACTGGAGATGCCAGATTCCATGCTCTTTGCAGTTTAGCAGCTACATCTAAGTCCAGAAGTGCTGGGAAGAGCCATCGACTCCAAGGGTTAGATCAGATCAGACTGGTATACTAGGAAGTTACAACAAATGTTATGAGACTTTCTTGGAGTTTAGCCCTCACTTCAATGAATCCAAGACAATCAAAATTATTAGGAGATGAGATGACATTGGTAGGATCTGGGGAATCTTCACTATTCAATAACAAAATCCAGGAGAAAAGTAGAGCTAAGTGGACCTGGGGAGCCACATAATTTGGATTCCACATAGTTTACTTCTTTCACTATTTATATTAACTAGAAATTACCCATAATATCTGGCTCTGATACTGTAATGTGATATCTCCACTTTTGCACCAACTCACAAAAGATGGTGATAAACAGTGAAAAGATGGTAGTATCAACAGATTGTAAATCCTGTAAATGAATTACTACTGTAAATTACAGTGGTAATTATCAAAACTTGGATATTAAGATGAGTGACCTATGACACAATAAGATGAAAAAACTGAAACACGATAGAAGAAACATTTAGTAGGTCAATGTAATAATTCGGGTAAAATATGATGGGAGTTTTGGCCAGGATAGGTAGAAGGTGATGAGAAGTAGCCAGATTCTCAGATTCTAAAGACATTTTGAAGTAGAGCCTAGCTGAGTTTGGCTGATGAAATGGATAAGAGATGTAAGGGAAAGAGGTGAGTAAATAATAAATCTAAGATTTGTAATTGTCATTTACTTAAATGGTAAATAATACAGGAGCAACTTTTGGAAAGGAGAAATCAGGAGATTTTGGGGGTATGTTAATACTGAGATGCCTGGAGATCCAAGAGGGAATGCTGAGAAGACAATGGGATGTATGAGTCTTGAATTCAGGGTAGAAGTTTATACTGGAGATAATAAATGTTGTTGCCATTGGCATAGAGATGTAATTTAAAGCCACAACATAGGTTAATACCATCTAGACATGATGGTGGGTAGATAAAGAATGTTATTAAGGCCTAGGTCACTCTAATTATTAAGGTCAGAGAAATGGGGAGGAAACCTTAAAAGCAATTATGCACAAAAAAAACAGAAATCAGAATAAAAAATAATATAGAATAACGTTGTTCTGGAATTAAAATGGAAAAAAAATAAATATTTCAAGTTGATGGAAATCATCACCAGTGTCAAATACATAGTATGTCAAGATGGGAACTGAAAGTTAACCATTTCATTTAGGAACATGAATGTCATTGATGAACTTGACAATGGTTTTAATGCAAATGTGGATATGAAGTTCTGAGTAGAGTGTATTTAAGGAAAAATTGGAAGAAAGGAAGAGGAGACAGTCTGTATAGACATTTCTTGTCAGGCATCTGAGCCCAAGATAAGCCATCATATCCCCTGTGACCTGCATATATACATCCAGATGGCCTGAAGCAACTGAAGAATCACAAAAGAAGTGAAAATAGTCAGTTCCTGCCTTAACTGTTGACACTCCACCATTGTGATTTGTTCCTGCCCCACCCTAACTGATCAATTAACCTTGTGACATTCCTTCTCCTAGACAATGAGTCTCAGAACCTCCTCACTGAACACCTTGTAACCCCTGCCTCTGCCTGCAAGAAAATAACCTCCTTTAACTATAATTTTCCACTACCTACCCAAATCCTATAAAACTGCCCCACCCCTATCTCCCTTTGCTGACTCCTTTTTTGGACTCAGTCCGCCTTCACCCAGGTGATTAAAAAGCTTTATTGCTCACACAGAGCCTGTTTGGTGGTCTCTTCGCATGGATGCACATGACATTTCTGTTAAGGAATTTTGCTTTAGTAGAAAGCAAATTCTGGTAGCTGGAAAAGTGTGGCATTAAATGGGGGTAAATATTATTTTTTATGATTGAAAATAGAACATGTTTGAGTGTTAATACAAATAACCTGACAGAAAATGAAAATGTATGTGATGCAGAATGGAAAGGAGGAAACTGTGGGAGTGATGACCTTAAATAAGAAAGAGTGGTTGGGACTAAGTGAGCATGCAACAGTTGTTGGCATTTGCTGTCCACATGCACAATTCATCCACAGTAGAAGTAGGATGACAGAGTGAATTAGTTCAGATGCAGTTAATCTGATATTTGTGGTGAGATTTGGGGATATTTCCTCTGATGATTTTTTTTGTTTTCACCACGTATTATAAACCAAGGACATTAGCTGAGAGTGAAGAGGAAGAGGAATTTTTTCAGAGAATGTGTGAAATAGTTGTTTAAAGTGTAGAAGAGTGAGTAGATTAGGAAAACAGTATAATTACTAAGAAGTCTTAAGAACCCAATTGGTTTTATGGTTATGAATTTAAAATGGATCTGTAAGCGTGTTTTTGTTTCTTTTCCTTCAGATAAGTTTGAATTCATGAGTTCAGGCAGATAGATTTAACCAGGCTTGTGGTTTTGCAAAGTGAGTTAAACAAAATGAAAGAAGGGCAAAGAAGCTAAGTGTACTCAAAGAAGTGATTATTGTAACTGACCATTAAATTTACCCTAGGAAGAAGGAAAGTGAGAACAAGCGATGGGGAGAAACAGTGAAAATTTCCTAGAATCAACAGATTGTAAATCTTGGTGGAGTAGTATAATTATTGAAACTGGAATATTAAGATGAGTGGGCTAGAAAAAGTAGATTTAATAATCAGAGACTGGGATGTATAAAGTCAAGATTATGGAGGCATTACATTTGCTGATAATGGTAAGTGTCAGGTCTCTGAGCCCAAGCTAAGCCATCATATCCCCTGTGACCTGCACGTATACATCCAGATGGCCTAAAGTAACTGAAGATCCACAAAAGAAGTGAAAATAGCCTTAACTGATGACATTCCACAATTGCGATTTGTTTCTTCCCCACCCTAACTGATCAACGTACTTTGTAATCTCCCTGACCCTTAAGAAGGTTCTTTTTAATCTCCCCCACCCTTAAGAAGGTTCTTTGTAATTCTCCCCACCCTTGAGAATGTACTTTGTGAGATCCACCCTCTGCCTGCAAAACATTGCTCCTAACTCCACGGACTATCCCAAATCCTGTAAGAACTAATGGTAATCCCACCACCCTTTGCTGACTCTCTTTTCAGACTCAGCCCACCTGCATCCAGGTGAAATAAATAGCCTTGTTGCTCACACAAAGCCTGTTTGGTGGTCTCTTCACACGGATGCATGTGACAGTAAGGTCTTGGATTTGACAATAAAAACGAGAAACCGAGTGTATTAGTCCATTCTCACACTGCTATAAAGAAATACCCAAGACTGGGTAATTTATAAAGGAAGAGGGTTTAATTGACTCACAGTTCCACATGGCTGGTGAAGTCTTAGGAAACTTACAATAATGGAGGAAGGCAAAGAGGAAGCGAAGACCTTTTTCACATGGCATCAGGAGGGATCAAAGTGTGCAAAGGAGGAATTTGCCAAACACTTATAAAGCCATCAGATCTCATAAGAACTCACTCATTATCACAAGAACAGCATGGGGGAAACTGCCCACGTTTTAATCACCTCCCAACAGGTTTCTCTCTTAACACCTGGGGATTAAAATTCAAGATGAAATTTGGTTGGGACACAAAGCCTAACCATATCACTGAGGTGAAACAAAGTACACGTTCACTGAAAAATATTTCAAGGACCTTTGATAACAGAAGACTGGAAAGATTATCCATAAGAATACAGAACACACAGCAAACCCATGCCAAGTCAGCAATGCATTTTCTTTAGCACTCTGTACTGTTGTTCTGAAGTAAAAGAACTGTTTCTGAAAATCAAACAAAATATTATAAAAGCTTCACAATCAAACAATTTGAAACAAACCATCAATTTAAATGTGCAAATAAATTTTAAAAGAAACATAAAAAAAATTAAAATTGCTATGAATTAGAAGTAGTGCTGGAGAAGTAAAAAAACAAAATATTTCAATGGATAAGGGATAGTGGATATTAAGGGTTGAATTATGCCCTCACAAAAGACATGTTTAGGTCCTAATACCCAGCATCTCAGTATGTGACCTTGTTTGGAAATAGGGTTGTTACAGATATAATTAGTTAAGTAAAGGTGAGGTTATACTAGAGTAAGATGGGGCCTCAATACAAAATGACTGAGGTCCTTATAAGAGGAAAAAGACACACATGTGGAATAAATGACCTTTTAAAGACAGAGGCAGAGATTAGAGTGATGCTGCTACAAGTCAATCAATACAAGGATTGCCTGCAAACATCAGGAGATAGAAGAGCCTTTTAACATGAAATGATGTTGAATTTTATTGAAAGCCTTTTCTGCATGTATTGAGACTATCATGTAGATTTTTTCATTCTTTTTTATGTGATGAAGTAAATTTACAATTTGTATATGTTGAAACAACCTTGCATTACAGGAATAAAGCCTACTTGATTGAGCTGGTTTAGCTTCTTGATGTACTACTGTATTCTGTTAGGTAATATTTTGTTGAGAAGTTTTGCATCTATATTCATCAAGGATCTTGACGTGAAGTGCTCCTTTTTTTGTGTGTCTCTGCCAGGTTTTGGTATCTGAATAAAGCTGGCCTCATAGAATGATTTAGGGAGGAGTCATTCCTCTGCATTTTTTTTTAATAGTTTCAACAGGAATGGTATCAGCTGTTCTTTGTACATTTCATAGAATTAGGCTGTGAATCGACCTGGTCCAGGGCTTTTTCTGGTTGTTAGGCATTTTATAACTTATTCAATTTTCAAACTCATTATTGGTGTATTCAGGGTTTCAATTTCTTCCTGTTTTAATCTTGGGAGGATGTATGTTTCCAGGAATTCATCCATTTTATGTAGATTTTCTAGTTTGTTTGCATAGAATTGATTGTAACAGTCTCTGAGAATTATTTTGTATTTCTGTTGAGTCGGTAATAATGTCATCTTTGTCATTTCTGATTGTGTTTATTTTAGTTCTCTCTTTATTAGTCTAGCTAGTGATCTATCAATCATTTATTCTTTCAAAGAAACAACTTCTTATTCCTTTGATTTTTTTATTGTATATATCTCAACTCTCAATTTCATTCAATTCAGCTCAGATTTTTGTTATTTCTTGTC
This sequence comes from Homo sapiens, assembly GCF_000001405.40. NCBI lineage: Eukaryota > Metazoa > Chordata > Mammalia > Primates > Hominidae > Homo > Homo sapiens. Next base: position 90,708,369 of record NC_000023.11, read on the forward strand.
TTCTGCCAGCTTTGGGTTTGGTTTGCTCTTTTTTTTTTTTTTTTTTTTGTAGTTTTTGGTGTGATACCAGCTTGTTAATTTCAGATCTTTATAACTTTTTGATATGGGCATTTAGTGCTGTAAACTTAACTCTTAACACTGCTTATCTCTGCCCTAGGGATTCTGTTATATCTTTTATTTTTAATTTTAGCTTTTATTTTAGATATGCGGGTACATGTGTAGAATTGTTACATGGGTATATTGGACTCCATTTGTGAGCATAGTACCCAGTAGCTATTTCTTCAACTCTCACTCCCACTTTCTTCCCTCCTCCCTCTAGTGGTCTAGTAGTTTAGCTCCCACTTATTAGTGAGAGCTAAACTTTGAATAAACATGGACATAAACATGGAAAAAACAGAAACTGTGGTCATTCGGTTTTCTGTTCCTGTGTTAATTCATTTAGGACTATGGTCTTTAGCTCCATCCATGTTGCTGCAAAGAACATGGTCTCCTCTTTTTATGGATGAATAGTATTCTATGGTGTATATGGACCACACTTCCTTTATCCAATTCACTACTGATAGGCACATAGATTGATTCTATGTATTTGCTATTGTGAATAACACAGTGATGAACATAAAAGTGAGTGTTTTTTTGGTACAATGATCTATATTTTTGGGGGTATATATCCAGTTCTGAGATTGCTGATAAGCATTGTAGTAGACACCTAGCTGGGCTCATTTACTCCCATCTCTCCCTGTTCCACATGACATGTTGATCTTGAGGCACCATTTTATTGGACCATTCCTCACATCTTTAAAAATAGAAATGACATATATTTTTCCAATGAAATTAGCTCAAATTCCTAATGTTAATTTTCAAGGTTTTTTATCAATTAGCATAAAAATTCTCAAGGTTTTTACCAATTAGCAGAAAAATTCTAAGTAATACTTAATGAAACTAAAAACAGGAGAGTCTGTAATGTTAATTCCAACTATTCTCCCATGAAGAAACTTATTACATGGTTCATGATAGCACAAGGGAGAGTCTATTAGTAATTGAATAAATAAGTGAGATAAATTGGCTGTAGTAGGGAGTTGAAAGCAGAGTAACCATTTACAGTAGTCCATTAATGAGTTTATAGCTTCAAAAATCACCTGCATGCAACTTCTATGCATATAGCAGCATTCTAAGCATTATAGAAAATACAAAATAGTTCACTGACTGTTAGGTAGTCAAGAACCATCTTAGGGAATAAAGTTAAGAAAAAAGAATAATATCTCAATAACCCCTAAGAGGTAATAAAAGTATTAGAAGGAGAGAGAGAGATAGCACCAGATCTGGTTAGGAGAGACTTAGCTTATACAAAGTTTTAGTGGTGACAAATGAGCAATTTTTCTTGACTGACTACAAAATAGATTAACCTGGTCAGAATAAAAGATTCACAGTCATGAACCACGTAATATCAGTCTGTGATGGACCACATATATGATGATGATTTCATAAGATTATAATGAAGCTGAAAATTCCTATAGCCTGTTGTTTACTATACTGCACTTTTCATCATTATTTACAATGTATTATTGTGAAAGAGTAACTTATAAAAAATATTACCTGTATAACAGCCTCAGGCAGGTCCTTCAGGAGGTATTTAAGAAGAAGCCATTGTTATCATAGGAGATGACAGCTTCATGCAAGTAATTGCCCCTGAAAATCTGAGATGTGGAGGTAGAAGACAGTGATATTTATGATTCTGGCTCTGTGTAGGCCTAGGATCAAGTGTATTTTTGTGTCTTCGTTTATAACAAAAAAAGTTTAAAAACTAATGAAAACATTAAAAATTATTTTTAAAAAGGTTGTAAACAAGCATATAAACAAAGAAAATATTGTTGTACAGCTATGAGGTGTTTTTGTGTTTGAAGCTAAGTATTATTTTTGATCAGTCAAGGAGTTGAAAAAAATAAAAATTTTATGATGCAAAAAAGTTATAGTAAGCCAAGCTTAATTTATTTTCAAGAAAAAACAATATTTTAAATGAACTTAGCACAGCTGAAGTGTTCAATGTTTATAAAGTCTGCAGTTGAATGCAAACTTAGGCCTTTACATTCACTTACCACTCACTCACTGACTCAACCAGAGCAACTTCTAGTCCTGTGAGTTCCATTCATGCTGAGAGCCTTATACAGATGTATCAAATTTAATCTTGTACACTATATTTTGACTCTACCTTTTCTATGCTTAGATATGTTTAGATGTACACATATATATTATTGTGTTACAATTGCCTACAGTATTCAGTTCACTAATGTATCATACAGGTTTGTATCCTAGAAGCAATAAGGTATACTCTATAGCTTAGGTGTGTAGTAAGCTATAACATCTAGGTTTGTGTACATACATTCTACAATATTTATTCAATGAAGAAATTGCCTAAGAATACATTTCTCAGAAATATATTCACTGTTTTAAACAATATGTGATTGCAACAGGCATACCTCAGTTTTTTGTTATTTGCTTTATTGTGCTTCACAGATACTGTGTTTATTAACATTTAAGGTTTGTGGCAATCCTGTATCAAGAAAGCCTATTGGTAACAATTTTCCAACATCACTTGCTCACTTTGTGTCTCTGAGTTACATTTTGGCAATTCCCATAATATTTAAAAAATTTTCAGTATTATATCAGCTATGGTCATTTATGGTCTCTGATGTTACTATTGTAATTGTTCTGTGGCACCATAAACTGTGGTCACATAAGACAGTAAACTTAATACATAAATGTTGTATGTGTTCTGACTGCTCCACCTACCAGCATTTCCCCCATCTTTCTCCCTCTTGTCAGGCCTGTCTATACCTTGAGACACAACAATATTTAAATTAGGCCAATTAATAACCCTACAATGACATGTAAGTATTCACGTCAAATAGAGTTTCATGTCTCTCACTTTAAATCAAAAGGTAGAAAGTGATTAGACTTAATAAAGAAGGCACTTCAAAAATCAAAATAGGCTGAAAACTAGGCATCTTGCACTAAATAATGAGCCAAGTTGCGAATGCAAAGTAAAAGTTACTGGAGAAAATTAGAAGTGTTACTCCAGTAAAAATCTGAATGGTAAGAAAGTCAGCACTTTGTGAGGCCGAGGCGGGCGGATCACGAGGTCAGGAGATCGAGACCATCCTGGCTAACACGGTGAAACCCCGTCTCTACTAAAAATACAAAAAATTAGCCAGGCGTGGTGGTGGGCGCCTGTAATCCCAGCTACTCGGGAGGCTGAGGCAGGAGAATGGCATGAACCCAAGAGGCGGAGCTTGCAGTGAGCCGGGATAGCGCCACTGCAGTCCAGCTTGGGCGAAAGAGTGAGACTCCGTCTCAAAAAAAAAAAAAAAAAAAAAAAAAAAGAAAGTGAAACAGCCTTATTACATGCTGATATGGAGAAAATTTCAGTAGTCTGAATCAAAGACAAACCAGCCACAAAATTCGCTTAGGCAAAAGCCCAATCCAGAGCAAGGCCCTAACACTCTTTAATTCTATGAAAAATGAGAGAGGTGAGGATGTTATGGTAGGAAAGTTTGAAGCTAGTAGAGGTTGGTTCATGAGGTTGAAGGAAATAAGCCATTTTCATAACACAAAAATGCAAGGTGAATCAGCAAATCCTGACGGAGAAGCTGCAGCAAGTTATCTGGAAGACCTAGCTAGGATAATTGAAGAAGGTGGCTATACTAAACAACAGATTTTCATTGTAGACAAAAACAGCCTTCTGCTGGAAGATGATGACATCTAGGACTTTCATAGCTGGAGAAAGGAAGTCAATGCCTGACTTCAAAGCTTTAATAGACAAGGTGACTCTCTTGTTAGTGGCTAATGCAGCTGGTGAATTTAAATTTAAGTCAGTGCTCATCTACTATTCTGAAAATCCTAGGGTATTTAAAAATTATGCTAATTATACTCTGCCTGTCCTCTATAAATGGAGTGGCAAAACCTGGATGAGAGAACATCTGTTTACCGTATGGTTTACTTAATATGTTAAGCCCGCTGTTGAGACCTACTGCTCAGAAATAAAGATTTCATTCAAAATATTACTGTTCACTGACAATTCACCTAGTCAACCTAGAACTCTGATGAAAATTTGCAAGGAGATTAATGTAGTTTTCATGCCTGTTAACACAATATCCATTCTGTAGCCCTAGATCAATGAATGTTTTTGACTTCCAAGACTTATTTAAGAAAAGCATTTCATAATCAGGCATGGTGGCATGTGTCTGTAATTCCAGCTACTAAGGAGGCTGAGGCAGGAGAATCACTTGAACCCAGAAGGTGGAGGTTGCAGTGAGCCAAGATTGTGCCACCGCCCTCCAACCTAGGCGACACAGCAAGACTCCATCTCAAAAACAAAACAAACAACAAAAAACATTACATAGGGCTATATCTGCCATTGGCAATGATTCCTCTGATAGATCTGGGCAATTCCTTCTGGAAAGAAAATCACCATTCAAGATACAAATTAAGAACATTTGTGATTCATGGAAGGTCAAAATATCTACATTAACAGAAGTTTGGAATAAGATAATTCCAACCTTCATGAATGACTTCAATGGATTCAACACTTCTATAGAGAAAGTAATATAAATATGGTGGGAATAGCAAGATAAATAAAATTAGAAGTGGAGCTTAAAGATGGAACTAAATTACTGCAGTCTCATGATAAAACTTGGATGGATGAGCACTCGCTTTTTATGAATAAACAAATAAATTGCTCCCTCTCCCTCTCCCTCTCCCTATCCCCTCTTTCCACGGTCTCCCTCTGATGCCAAGCTGAGGCTGGACTGTACTGCCGCCATCTCGGCTCACTGCAACCTCCCTGCCTGATTCTCGTGCCTCAGGCTGCCGAGTGCCTGGGATTGCAGGCGCACGCCGCCACGCCTGACTGGTTTCCATAATTTTTTGGTGGAGACGGGGTTTCGCTGTGTTGGCCGGGCTGTTCTCCAGCTCCTAACCGCGAGTGATCTGCCAGCCTCGGCCTCCCGAGGTGCCGGGATTGCAGATGGAGTCTCGTTCACTCAATGCTCAATGTTACCCAGGCTGGAGTGCAGTGGCGTGATCTCGGCTCACTACAACCTCCACCTCCCAGCCGCCTGCCTTGGCCTCCCAAAGTGCCGAGATTGCAGCCTCTGCCCGGCCACCACCCCGTCTGGGAAGTGAGGAGCGTCTCTGCCTGGCCGCCCATCATCTGGGATGTGAGGAGCCCCTCTGCCCGGCTGCCCAGTCTGGGAAGTGAGGAGTGCCTCTTCCCGGCCGCCATCCCATCTAGGAAGTGAGGGGCGTCTCTGCCCGGCCGCCCATCATCTGAGATGTGGTGAGTGCCTCTGCCCCGCTGCCCCATCTGGGATGTGAGGAATGCCTCTGCCTAGCCGTGACCCCATCTGGGAGGTGAGGAGCGTCTCTGCCCGGCTGCCCAGTCTGAGAAGTGAGGAGCCCCTCCGCCCTGCAGCCGCCCCGTCTGGGAGGTGTACCCAACAGCTCATTGAGAGCGGGCCATGATGACAATGGCAGTTTTGTCGAGTAGAGAGGGGGGAAATGTGGGGAGGGGATGGAGAGGTCGGATTGTTGCTGTGTCTGTGTAGAGGGAAGTAGACATAGGATACTCCATTTTGTTCTGTACTAAGAAAAATTCTTCTGCCTTGGGATGCTGTTAATCTATAACCTTACCCCCAACCCTGTGCTCTCTGAAACAAGTGCTGTGTCCACTCAGGGTTAAATGGATTAAGGGCGGTGCAAGATGTGCTTTGTTAAACAGATGCTTGAAGGCAGCATGCTCATTAAGAGTCATCACCACTCCCTAATCTCAAGTACCCAGGGACACAAACACTGCGGAAGGCTGCAGGGTCCTCTGCCTAGGAAAACCAGAGACCCTTGTTCACTTGTTTATCTGCTGATCTTCCCTCCACTATTGTCCTATGACCCTGCCAAATCCCCCTCTGCGAGAAACACCCAAGAATGATCAATAAATACTAAAAAAAATAAAAAAATAAAAATAAAATAAAATAAATAAAAATCAAGAGGGGGAAGATTAAAAAAAACAAACAAACAAACAAATAAATTGATTTTTGCAGGGATAGAGTCCACTCCTGGTGAAGATGCTGTGAACTTGGTTGAAATGACAGCACCTGATTTAGAAGATTACAGAAACTTAGTTGATAAAACAGTGCCAAGGTTTGAGATGATCAACTAAAACTTTGAAAGAAGTTCTGTTGTGGGGATGATGCTATCAAAAATCACTGCATGTTACAGAGAAAATTTTTTATGAAAGAAAGAGTCAATTAATATGGCAAACATAATTGTCTCATTTTAAGAAATTGACATATTTTTTGTCTGGGACCAAAGGAAGATGGCAGATAGGAGGCAGGGCTAATGTGCATCTCCCACTTGGATAGACAGAACGATGTGTTGATACTCACACTGTGAACTGTTGTTCCAAGAATTACTGCAGGAACATATCAGGAAAACCAAAAGAATTAACAGATATTTGAAAGAAGTGACATACCACTGCAAACTCTGCAGGACGAGTGAAAAGCTTTGAGTTCCCAAATTGTGAGAGTGAGAAAACCTGCCTTTGAACACACATCCCCACTGGGAAATCTAAAATTTCAGATAACGGGAGAAGAATTTAACCTTATCTAGCACTGGAATGGATTTAGGGAGCCATGTGAAATACAAAAGTAGAAGCAGCAGTATGAGGAGCCTCGTAGGCACTCCCAGTCTCCAGTTTGAGCCCATGGAAGCCATCTCTGACTTTATCTCACAGGGGCCCTCAGGGAAGGCAGCCAGCAGAATTAGGGAGGGGACACAGGGTGAAAGAAGCTTCCAAATAAATGTTGTGATAATTTCAAGTGGGAACAAAATCCCTCGAACAGAATCTAGGGGATGAATGGGAACCGCAGCAGAAATGAGCGTAGGAAGGGGTTATCCACCATTGCAGGTAAATGGAGAGGGGTGTGGCGTGAACACTGTGCTTGCTTTTTCAGCGGGGAATCTTATGGCCTGGGGAGGGTCTGAGTTCTGTGCACAGGCAGCGTGGATCTAAACTGACCACTTGCACTGTTAGTGGGGCACTGTGGGAACAAGACCAGCCTTGCCAACTGTGTGGAGGCTGAGTGAAGCCTTTTACTACCAGTCACCCCCTACTTCCCTAGTGAAGTCTCCTGTATGGGAGAGGCAGCCATAATACCCTCTGGAACATAACCCCATTGGCCTGAGAACTACCTGCTTATCCCCACAGTGACAGCTGCAAGCCCTGCCCAAGAAGAGTCTTTACTCAGATCAGCCTAACCCTGCCCCCATCTGATGGTATTTCTCTACCCACCCTGGTAGCCAAACACAAAAGACACAAACTCTTGGGAGTTTTGTGGCCCCACCCATCACCTGAGAAATCAGAATACTTCCCCTGGCCAACTTAGGGCAAGCTCAAATTCCACTGCTAATACAACAGCTGGGATCTCCTGAAAGTGCCACCTCCTGGCTGGAGGTCAACCAGATAAAGCCATTACAGCATCTCATGACAGAATAATGCTCCTCCCAGGAAGGAGAAAACAGCAACTAATACCACTGCCTGCAACATCCTGGCTACCAGAGGTCCTGAGTCTGTCCATGTGACAACTTCACTGCTAGCATAACCAGCATTCATGAAAACCAGGATTTAACCTGTCTACAACCAAGGATTCTCAGAGTCTACATCACTCCCCTGCCGTCTCCACCAGAGCAGGTGCTGGTATCCATGGCTGGGAGACCCAAAGACTGATCACATCACAGGATTCTTTGCAGACATTTCCCAGCACCAGCCCAGAGCCTGGTAGCCCCACAGGGTGGCTAGATCCAAAAGATCAATTACAATCACTGCAGTCTGGTTCTCAGGAAGCCCTATCCCTAAGGGGAAGGGGAGAACACCACATCAAAGAATCACCCCATGGGACAAAAGAATCTGAACAGCAGGCCTTAAGTTCCAGATCTTTCTCACAGCAGAAACACAATTGCAGTGCTGGATGCAGTAATAAAAATTCTGTACCTATACCACAACAGGCAGGCAGCCTCAGTGATCATGAAGAGCCTTGGAGAAGGGGTCCTTCTTCCCCCCGGTACTCTACTGCAGACACAGCTGGGGCTTCCCCCACAGGAATGCAGTATAGAGTCACCTATATACAGCCTTTGTGGAACAGTCCTGGTGAGTGCAGCCCCATAGGAGGAGCATACCCCAGATTCAGGCCTGCAAGTGTGGCAGAGTCACAATTCCCCCCTACTTGAAACATCAGCATTTCCATAGACAAAAAGTGGTGCCTGTATGATCTGAATAGCTGAAACATAAAGCAGGAGTGAGGCTGTGAAGCTTTCCTGCTGATCTGGCAGGAAGCTGAGGTAGCTCCCACTCTTCACCCTGATAAAACCTCAGCACATTTAATTGAGAGTTCACTCAGCCATCCTCATTATGGCTGGGACCTTGACCCAACATTGGGTATTACATCTACCCATCTGCCTTAGTCAGAATCAATGCTTACCCACGGATATCTCCCCTATTGGCCTGAAGCCTGATTCATCAACTTAGTAAATAAAATACAAGGACCAATAATAAATAAATAAAGTGTATACCACAAGAGAATGAGATATGCTTCAAGAGATCCTTGCCTTTCCAACTCCATAGGAGATAGTAAACTTACCCACACACCAAGAATATAACTACTACAATCAGCATTAGGGAAAACCAGAACGCAAAGACTCTCATAACTAAGGATCTCTTAGAGAGTCATCACCCCTACAAGCATCAAGAATCAAATTAGGCTAAAATAAACATTAAAGTCTGATCCTTAAGAGAATAAAAAAGAAATATATATTAAATAAAAACACAGTTCAATTAAAAATAAATTCCAAAAAAAATTTTAAGTACTAGCCTACTCAAATGAGAAGGAACCAGAAAAGTAATTCTGGTAATATGACAAAACAGGGTTTTAAAGCACCCCCAAAAGATCACACTAGCTCCCTAGCAGTGGATCCAAACCAAGAAGAAATCTCTGAATTGCCAGGTAAGGAATTCAGAAGTCACGCCTATAATCCCAGCACTTTGGGAGGCCGAGGTGGGCAGATCACAAGGTCAGGAGTTTGAGACCAGCCTGACCAACATGGTGAAAACCCGTCTCTACTAAAAATACAAAAATTAGCAGGGCATGGTGGCACACACCAGTAATCCCAGCTACTCAGAAGGCTGAGGCAGGAGAATCGCTTAAACCCATACCCAGGAGGTAGAGGTTGCAGTGAGCCGAGATCACATCACTGCACTCCAGCCTGGGTGAGAGAGTGAGACTCAGTCTCCAAAAAAAAAAAAAAAAAAAAAAAGAAAAAGAATTCAGAAGGATGATTATTAAGCTACTCAAGGAGATAACAGAAAATCATGAAAACCAACTTAAAGCAATTTTGAAAAAAACAATAAAAGATATGAATTAGAACATTTTCAGAAAAATAGATGTCATAAAGAAAAAACAATCACAACTTCTGAAAATGAAAGTCACACTTAGAGAAATACAAAATGCAGGGGAGAGTTGCAACAACAGAATAGAAGAAGTAGAAGGAAGAACTTCAGAGCAAGGCTTTCAAATTAAACCAATCCTACAAAGACAAAGTAAAAGTAATAAAAAATGAAGAAAGGTTCCAAGAAGTTTGGGATTATGTTAAGTGGCCAAACTTAAGAACAATTGGTGTTCCTGGGGAAGAACAGAAATCTAAAAGTTTGGAAAATTTATTTGAAGGAATAATTGAGGGAAACTTCCCTGGCCTTGCTAGAGATCTAGACATTCAAATACAAGAAGCTCAAAGAACTCCTGGGAAATTTATTGTGAAAAGATAATCACTAAGGCAAATAATCATCAGGTTATCTAAAGTCAAGGCAAAAGAAAGAATCTTAAGACCTGTGAGACAAAAGGATCAGATAACCTATAAAGGAAAACCTACCAAATTAACAGCTATTTCTCTGCAGTAAACTTACAAGCCAGAAGAGCTTGAGGTCCTGTCTTTAGCCTTTTAAACAAGATAATTGTCAGCCAAGAGTTTTGTATCCAGCAAAACTAAGCTTCATAATTGAAGGAGAGATAAAGTATTTTTCAGTTATACAAATGCTGAGAAAATTTGTCATTACCAAGCTAGCATGGCAAGAAATTCTAAAAGGAGTTCTAAAACTTGAAACAAAACCTCAATATACATCAAAATAGAACTTCATTAAAGCATAAATTTCACAGGGCCTATACAAAAATAACACAATGAAAAACAAAAGTATTAAGGCAACAGCTAACAGGATAAATAGAACAGTACCTCACATCTTAATACTAATGTTGAATGTAAATGGCCTAAATGCTCCACTTAAAAGACACAGAATGGCAGAATGAATAATCTACCAGCCGAGTATCTGCTATTTTCAAGAGACTCACCTAAAAAATAAGAATCACATAAACTTAAGGTAAAGGGGTAAAAAGTATATATTCCATGCAAATGGAAACCAAAAGTGAGCAGGAGTAGCTATACTTATAGTCAGACAAAGCAGACTTTAAAGCAACAACAATAACAAAGAAAAAGAAATAGATGGACATTATATAATGATATATCTAAATGAATCCAATAGCATATCAATAAGAGAAGACACCATGATCAAGAGGGTTTCACACCAGGGATGCAGAGATGGTTTAATATATGCAAGTCAATAACTGTGATACATCACATAAACATAATTAAAAACAAAAAATATATTATAATCCCAATAGATGCAGAAACAGTATTTGACAAATTCCAGCATCCCTTTATTATTAAAGCCCTCAGCAAAATTGGCATAGAAGGAACATACCTCAAAGTAAGAAAAACCATCTATGAAAAAAAACCACAGCCAATATTACACTGAATGGAAAAAAAGTTCAAAACATTCCCTCTGAGAACTGGAACAAGACAATGATGTCCACTTTCACCACTTCTATTCAACATATTACTGGAATTCCTGACTAGAGCAGACAAGAGAAAGAAATATAAGGTATCAAAATCAGAAAAGAAAAGTCAGACTGTCACTGTTCACCAATGATATGTTCATATAACTAGAAAACCCTGAAGACTCATCCAAAAAGTTCATAGATCTGACAAATGAATTCAGTAATGTTTCAGGATAAAAATCAGTGTACACAAATCAATTGCACTGCTGTACACCAAAAAACACCAAGCTGAGAATCAAATCAAGAACTCAGTTGATTTTACAACAGCTTCCAAAAAATAAAAATAAAATAAAATACTTAGGAATATACTTAACCAAGGAAGTGAAATGTCTCTACAAGTAAAACTACATAACACTGCTGAAAAAGTAATCGCAGATGACACAAATGGAAACACTTCCCATGGAAATGCAAATTAAAACTACAACTCATTCTTACAAGAATCACTATAATTTAAAAAATCAAAAAATAATGTTGGCATGGATGTGGTGAAAAAAGAACACTTTTACACTGCTGATGGGAATGTAAACTAGTACAAACACTATGGAAAACAGTATGGAAATTTCTCAAAGAACTAAAAGTAGAACTACCATTTTAACTAGCAATCCCACTACTGAGTATCTACCCAAAGGAAACTACATCATTATGTGAAAAAGACACTTGCACATGCATGTCTATAGCAGCACAACTTGCAGTTACAAAAATACAGAATTATCCTAAATGCCCATCAACCAATGAGTAGATAAAGAAAATACAGTATATATATACACGCACCAAGAAATACTACTCAGCCATAAAAAAAGAATTGAAATATTGGCATTTGCAGCAACCTGGATGGAGTTGGAGACCCTTATTCTAAATGAAGTAACTCAGGAATAGAAACCCCAAAATCCTATATTCTTACCTATAAGTGGGAGCTAAGTTATGAGGACACAAAGGCCTAAGAATGATATAATGGACTTTGGAGACTTGGGTGAAAGAGTGGGAGGGGTGTGAGGGATAAAATATCATACATTGGGTAGAGTGTGTACTGCTCAGGTGAGGGGTGCACCAAAATTTCAGAAATCACCACTAAAGGACTTATCTATCTAATAAAAAATGTTTGTTCCCCCCAAAAAATATTGAAATAAAATTAAATTAAAAAAAGAAACTTCCTCAGCTACCCCAACCTTTAGTAACCACCACCCTGATCAGTCAGTAGCTATCAACATCTAGGGAAGACCCTCCACCACTCAAGAGAATATGACTTGTTGAAGACTCAGATGACTGATAACATATTTCAGCAATAAAGCAATTTTAAACTAAGGTATGCACATGTTTTTAGACATAATGTTATTCTTGCATACTTAATAGACTACAGCAAAGTGTAAGCATAACTTGTATATGCACTGGGAAAACAAAACATTAATGCCAGTCGCTTTAATGTGATATTTGCTTTATTGAGGTGATCTGGAACCAAACACAAAAGCTTGAAGGACAAAATGTGGACATTGAATGGCTTGAATGACAGGCAAATTGTATTAAAATTGATTATTTGGATACATAAAATATAAGAACAGATTTTGAGAAGTAAAGAAACATGATAAGAACTATGATTTTGGAATATTGATCTAGCAAAGGCATGTAAGATAGCTTGTTGTGGGGAAATAATAGTCAGAGGGATGAATATGAAGGTTATTAGAATAACTAAGCATAAGTAGTTAAGGCCAAAACTAGAGGTTAGTATTGGAATAATAAAAAATATTAAAGGTAATATTCAGTGAAGAGTTATTATGTTACCTGCTATGTGCTTTATAAATGTCCTGCAGTATCTACCACGCAAATTAGGCATGTGCTTTTATTATTACTGTGTTACAACTAAAGTGACTTGAGATTATTATAGGTTATATGCTCACTCAAGGCTACATTGCTAATAACTGACCAGTGGTATGTTGAGAACTTGGAATAACCTCCATACTAAATTCTAACATAACAATTGTGTGAGGGAGAGATAATACAATAATTAATGTTTTGGTGACTAACTGATGGGCAAGAAGTTTATAGATAAATCATAGATGATTCTGAAGTTTCACATATGGCTTACTGGGTAATGATGATGATATTTATAAATTTCATAATTTAGAAAGGACTGCTTTCTCAAACATTTTATGGAAAGGTTTGGTTTTCTGTTCTTTATTTTTACTATTCTCTCAAAAGGAGGTTTGTTGTTGTTGTTGTTTGTTTTTGCTTTCTTTTGTGTCATTGTCATTGTCTTTGTTTAAACTCTACAACAATAGAAACTCATTCTTTTTTTCCCACTCAATCTTAAGACATACCTCTAAAGCTAAACATTTTGCTCCATTAACCCTAGCTGCAAATATCTCCTTTATCTTTGAATTTCAAACATATTCATGTGTCCAGAATAATGCTATTTTAAACTTGCCTGTATTTTGTTAAATGATTCTCTTTCTCTAAATTGTCCATATTTTCAAATCAGAGGTAAAGTACTATGTTTACATTACAGAGTTGTAGATAATTTTGTATTACTCTTCTGAATGCTTCACAATTTAAAAATAACAGATATTTAAATATAACTACACTTACACAACCACTACTTTTTACCAAACACAGATGAACAAGAAAATACCAATTATTGTGGAAAGAATTAAGCTGGATTTAAGTATACATTTTCTGATAATCAGAACTGCTAAATATTTATATTTTTATTGGGAAATTATAAAACGTACCTTTCCCTGAAACCTTTAAAATGGAATTGATGTAATATTGCAGTTAATTACTGAAAGTGCCTCATTTTTCATTAAGATTCAATGGACCTTAGGCTATGCTTACTGATCCTATAAATGAAATTCACAAATAAAGTACACCAATGTTAAAGAAAAGCCTTACCACAGCATGACTAACAAGTAACAAATTAACAAATTATTTCAAGTTGTGATCATTTTTGTAGTATCCTTGTTTTGCTTTTGCTGCAAATATAAATCTGGCCTATACAATCATCATAATCTAACAGTTTCTATAATACAAAGGCAGTCATGTAAATGCTAAAAATTATCATAATTGCTTGAAATAGAGTTATAATCTCCAAATGTATGGAGATCAGTATACTGTTCTTTATTTCTTTATATTTCCCTCTCTCTCTTTCTATTTATTTCTTTTTTAAATTTTGCTAACTTGAATTCCCATGTTGAAAAGTCTAATTTCTCTAACCTGCCAGAAAAAAACAAATGCTGCCAAAGAACTTCAGTTTCACGGCATGCATTGAAAACATAGTCCAAAAGGACTGAATCAATCCAATCATTTGGGAATAATTTAAACATTTTGATGGGGTCAACAATGCCAAAAGCTTATGCAAAATTGCTTTGCTGTTCTGTGTTATTCAGATGCAATATACAAATTCTTACAAAAAGTTGCCATTACAAGATCTGTAGCAATAGAAGGATCTTACAGAAGCGTGTATAATTATACCTCAGAGAGGAGTAGTAGCAGAAATATCTGCTGCAAAACTAATAAACACAAGAAAGCAAGTAAGATTGTCTCATGTAGGTGCACTGGTGGATTCAGGCTTTGTAGGTTTTGCCCCTTATATAATTTGAAGTGAACTCTTTAAGTAAAAGAATAACAAATTAGGAATGAAAGTGAATGTTTCTTTAGAATGAGCAAAGGAAATCACACAAAATTACAAATTTATAAAAGCTGACAAGTATCACAAACTTCACAACATCCAGAAAAAGAACATAATATTTTTAATTAACTGAGAAACCTCTTTCATATTATTTTTCTATTTTTTGTTACCAATGCTTTGATTAGCTCTTCATAGCACAGTGATTTTGTGACATTATTTTCTATAGAGAAAAGAGAAACATAATTTGGTTTTCCTCTAGCATAGTTTAGGAAAGTTTCTTTCAACTTTACAACTCATTCTTGGTAATGTAATTAAACTATAGGATTCTAATCAAATTTATACAATTGACTACGATGTCTCTTTCATACATAAACTGCAAGATTTGGAACACATTTCTATAGCTTAGATGCTGGCTATACACATTTCAAACTTTTGTTTCTTCTCCAATACTCACGTACTCCCAGAGTTAAGTATCATAAACAAGTTCATATGACAATACCACCTCTGACACTGAAACTTCATGTCATGATGCAGAGTGGATTGGCACAGTACACACAAGTGCACAGAGCAATGGGAGAGAATGAAATGCACGGTGCATGGCAAGGAAACTGAGCATTTTCACTCCAGGAAGAGCTGGCAAACTCCAGCTTGGGAATCTACAGTGCTCACTTATTAAGCCATCTGGGGGCAGGATTTTTTCTGCAGTCAACTTGTCTGTTTCAAGTCATTTGACACCCCTAGTTACAGCTTACCTGATAGAAAAAATAAGGTGAGAGTGGACCAAAAAATGTTTGATCCAAGATGCCTAAAAAGTAGTAATGGAAGCAGAAAAATTATTTTATAGCTGCCTACCACCAGGATTACGCTGCAAGAATCAACCCTGGGCTAGTAAATATGATATTGGTAATACTTTTCTCTAACAGTAAATTTAAGATTAGAATTTCCAGATTCTATAAATCTATAACATATATAATGGCATATATTATCAGTAATCATGAAAAGTAACAGGTGTCTTTCTAAATGCTGCAACCACAAGAGTGATCTCTTTATAGATTAAAAGGTTAAAAAAATGCTGGCAAAAAAAATAATAAAATCATCTATTTTAAATCCATTTATTTTTCTTATAGACTCTTCAGAGCTTTACAAAGGGGTCTGATGTTTTACTGCTAAAAATTGATTAGAAACACCACTTCCTTGGATTCTAAAGCATCCAGGAAGACTAAAAACACTAATGACCTCAATTTTTTTTCCAGTTATAAATTCAGAAAACTAATCAGAATTTAAAAATTAAAATTTAACACAAAACAATACAATCTAAAAAAGGTCAGATTGCCTAGCCCACTGGCTTTGCACTCATACAAACAGGAAGCTGAAATTTTGAGTTTTGATGGTCACTGTATCATTAACCTATTATGTTTCCATAACAAATTACCTGCTCAAATTTAAGTTTCCTTTGTCTGCAAATCTTAAACAGTTCACTGTGTCATGAGTATAATTGGTAAACAATCATATCTCCCTATATGAGGCAACCTCTCTGAGCACTAAACTAATTACCTAAACAATTTTTTTACCATGAAGACTGGTAACAACGATATATAGGAGAAAAAATATTAGAATTAAAGTGTCTTTGTTGTAAGATAATATTTTTTCTAATGATCTGGTTTCACTGCCAGTGTTAATAATTTATCTCTACCCAAATCTGTTCAGAAATAGAAATACTTTCTTTTATTACCTAAGAAGCTCTGAATAATCCCAACTGAAAAATGCCTGCCATGCTACTAGTATGGAAATCAAATTTCCTATACCTGTACATTTTAATTTGTGATGGAGGAATTTGTGCCTAATTATTTATATATGGTTTGAATTGTATAATTAATAGTGCTGTTTTAAATAATTTTACCTATGATAGAATAAATTTCTCAAACTAA
The DNA here is from genome assembly GCF_000001405.40 of Homo sapiens. Lineage (NCBI taxonomy): Eukaryota > Metazoa > Chordata > Mammalia > Primates > Hominidae > Homo > Homo sapiens. The sequence continues at coordinate 90,724,904 of NC_000023.11, forward strand.
TATTTTAATTCTTTCACCTTCCTTTGAGTCACTTGCAGGATGACTTGAAAATAGTATTCTTTTCTTTTTTTTTTTTTTTTTTTTGAGACAGAGTTTCACTCTATCAATCACCCAAGCTGGAGTGCGATCTTGGCTCACTGCAACCTCCTCCTCCAGGGTTCAAGCAATTCTCCTCCCTCAGACTCTTGAGCAGCTGGGATTACAGGCACCTGCCAGCATGCCCAGCTAATTTTTTTTGTATTTTTATTAGAGATGGGGTTTCACCATATTGGCCAGGCTGGTTTCGAACTCCTGACCTCAAGTGATCTGTCCGCCTCGGCCTCCCAAAGTGCTAGGATTACAGGCATGAGCCACAGTGCCAGGCCTGGAAATAGTGTTCTTGAATCTTTGTCTTTACTCTTGTAGGAAATGTGGCTTACTATTACAAGCTGATAGAATAGTTCCCTAAACTATCCTCTTATTATTATCTGTGATAATATATTGAAAAGTATAGGTCATTGCTTAGACATATGTTGGGTTGTCAATACATTGAATACTCAGTAATACATAACACAAAATATTTTGTCAACATATGTTAACTCAATGAAGTTTACAAGTATAGAAGTATGCTTATGGAGCTTCCTCATTCTGTACAATCAAGTTGCTCATCTTTCCTAGGACCAGAATAGACCAGAATATTTTTTCCCTCTTAATTAATTCCTGGGTCCACTGAAGAAAAAATAGCAAATCTTAATTTTGACCTAAAACTAAATTCCAGAGTGCTACTTTCTACACATATTAGCTACAAATAGCATACATATTTCAAGATCTGGAATAGAAGTTGATAAGCTACACTTAAATCTTGGCTTGCTTTGGCCCTTGAGTTGCAAAACACAATGCTTATGGCATAGAGACCCTGATATTATCTCCATAAATGTGACAAATTACAAGCCAAATTAAATGACATACACCTAGAAGAGCCCCAATGGTACAATTTATTAAATACTTTAGTATAATGAGTATTTATGTTAAATTGATTATGCTAAGACTATGGCAGGTTAAGCTTAATATTTCTGGTTTCTGAATGCTCAGTTTAATATATCAGATTATAGCATTTCACCTCTGTTTATTGTTTTGTGCTGCGTGTGTGTGTGTGCACAAACTCAAAGAACTAAAAAAAGAAAAAGAAACTAAGCCCGTATTAGCAGACTAAAGTAAATAATAAATATTAAATCAGAACTAACAAAATAGAAAATAATTGGTAAAAACTCAATAAAAGTGAGTTACTTTTTGGAATGACCAACAAAATTCACAAAACTTCAGCTAGACTGAAAAAAGAAAAAATTCAAATAAATAAAATAAAAAATGAGGAGACATTATAACTGACGTCACAGAAATATAAAATGATTATAAGAGATTATTATGAACAGTTGTACACTAACAAATTGGATAACTCGGAAAGATGGATTAATTCCTACAAACATATAATCTACCAAGAATGAATCATGAAGAGATAGAAAGTCTGAACAGACTGATAATTGGTAAGGAGTTTGAATGAATGAAAAAAACCTTCCAAAAAAGAAAAGCTTAGGAATATATGGCCTTACTGGTGAGTTCAACCAAACATAAATAAGAATTAACACCAATCCTTCTCAAGTTCTTCCAAAAAATAAAGAACAGGGAACACTATTGAACTGATTTTATGAAGCCGACATGACCCTGATACCAAAGAAAGGCAAGAAGTCTACTAGGAAAGAAAATTATGAGCCAATATCCCTGAAGAACATAAATGCAAAAACCCACAACAAAAAGCTAGCAAACTAAATTCAACAAGATAACAAAAGGGTCATACATCATGACCAAGTGGAATTACCCCTAGAATGCAAAAAAAAAAAAAAAATAATATAGGAAGCTATCAGTCAATGTGATATACCATATTAATAGAATGAAAAATAAAAATTATTTGATCATCTCAATAGGTACAGAAAAAACATTTGAGAAATTTCAACAACTTTTCATGATAAAAACAGACTAGAAATAGAAGAAATTAACTCAAAGTAATAAAAGCCATATATGGATAGCCCACAACTATTATATTCAATGGTGAAAAACTGAAATTATTTTCTCTAAGGTGAGGAAAAAGTCAAGGATGCCCACTCTCACCATTTCTGTTCAACACAGTACTGGAGTTTCTAGCCAGGGCAATAAGTAAAAAAGGGCATCTAAATCAGATAGGTAGAAATAAAATTATAAAGATTACACACACACACACACACACACACACACACACACACACTGTTAGAACTAAAAAACAAATTCAATATAATTGCAGAATACAAAATAAATGTACAAAAATTGTGTTTCTGTACACTGACAATGAAATATTGGAAAAAGAAGTTATGAAAATAATGTCATTTACAATAGCATCAAAATAATAAAATACATATGAATAACCTAGCCAAAAAGGAAAAAGACTTGTGTATACTGAAAACTACAAAACACTGGTGAACGAAAGTAAAGAAGATAAAAATAAATGCAAAGATTCCCTGTGTTTATGAATTGGAAGAGTTAATATTGTAAAAATATACATACTACTCAAAATGACCTGCAGGTTTTTCCAATCTGTATAAGAAACTCAATTTTTTTACATTAATAGAAAAAGCAATCTTAAAATTTATATGAGACTATAAAGGATTGTACCCAAATCTTAAGAGAAACAAAGACAAAGGACTCTAACATCCTAATTTTAACACACACTACAAAGCCACAGTAATCAAAATAGTATGATACTAGCGTAAAATAGACACTTAGACCAATAAAGCAGAATAGGAAGCCCAGAAATAACATCATGCATATATGGTCAACAGAGCTTCAACATGGGTGCTAAGAATACAAAGTGGAGTAAGGGTAGTCTCTTCAACAAATGGTGATGAGAAAATTGCAAATTCACATGCAGAAGAATAAAATTGGGCTTTTATGTCACATAATTCACAAAAACCTACTCAAAATGAGTTAAAGACTTAATTGTAGAATGTAAACTGTAAAACTTCTAGAAAAAAATAGGAGAAAATCTTCATGACATTGATCTTGGCAATGATATATTGGATATAACACCAAAAGTACAGGTGAGAAAAGCAAAAATAGACCAGTGGGACCATATCAAACTAAAACGCTTTTGCACAACAAAGGAAATAACCAACAGAATAAAAAGGCAACCTACAGTCTGTAGGAGAATATTTGCAAACCATATATCTGATAGCTTAATATCCAAAATATATAAAAAACTACAACTCAATACCAAAAAAACCCCAAATAACCCAATTAATAAGTAATAAAATGATCTGAATAGATATTTGTTCAAAGAAGATGTCCAAATAGCCAAGAGGAATGTTAAAAGTTGCTCAACATCCTAATCCCCAGGGAAATGCAACTCGACAACAATGAGATATTACCTTATACTTGTTAGAATTTAAAAACAAAAACCAACAAACATAGCAAGTGTTGATGAGGTTGTAGAACACAAGGAACACTTGAGCACTGAAGGGAAATATGTAAAATAATAAAGCTGCTAGGGAAAAACAGTATAACGTTTCCTGAAAACATTAATAATGAAACTACCATGTGATCCAGCCTTCCCAACTCTGGCTATTTTTTCAAAATAACTGAAATCCAGATCTTGAAGAGATATTTGTACTCTCATATTCTGGGCAGATTATTTATAGTAGCCAAGAGGTAATGCCCATGGACTAATGAATAAAGAAAATGTGATATATACATACAATGGAATTTATTTAGTGATAAAAAATATGCCATATGCTATAATCTGGATGAACCTTGAGGACTTTATGTTAAGTGAAATAAGCCAGTTGCAGAAGGACAGAAACTGTATGATTTAACTTATGTGATATATGTAAAGGTGTCAAACTCATAGTAGTACAGAGTGGAATGTTGTTTGCCAGGGGCTGGGAGGAATGGAGAATGGAGAGTTGCTGTTCAAAGGATATAAAATTTCCTTCAAGCAGGATGAAAATGTTCTAGAAATCTATTCTACACCATTGGGATTATAGTTAGCAACACAGTACTCTGCACTTAAATATTTGTTAAGAGGATGGAAATTCGTATGTGTGTCTTTTTGAACAAAATAAAAAAAAAAAAAGAACTTGGCCTTGGTAACTTATCAGACCTAGGTTGGAGCTTTCAACTCTGTTGGTCCTGTGGACTTTAGTCAGTCAGTTTACTTAATCCATTTAATAGGTAATAGCATTTAACATTTATCCACTATAGCGTTTAGTATGTACAAGGCACTTTTGAAATGCTACATAGATTGATAGATGATAAATAGATGGCCAATTGATACATAAATGCCAATACTCCTTTAATCCTCACAACAATCCATTCTACAAATGAGAAAACTAAGGCAGGGAATGATCAACTAATTTGTCACATAGCTAGTAAGTTATAGTGTGAGAATTCAATTCTAGGCAGCCTAGATTCACAGTTTTTGCTTTTAACTAATCTACTATATTATCTTGAAATCTCTTTACTTTCCTGCAAAGAGGTAGTATATATAAAACATTAAACAAGTGCTTTGCACATAATAATTAATATAGGCTTATATTACATTATTTATTACAATAAAGTGTAATAAAACATGGAAAGTCATGATGAATATCAGAAGGCAATAAACTTTGCAACAAATTAAATAACCATTGCAATGAAAAGAGTTGAAAGTTTAAGCAATGAAATATAAAGACTTCAGCTAATTATCAGAATGTCATATAGTGGTTCCAATTTTGGTCTCAATTTCCTGGTCTTTATAGTTGGAATAATATTTCTCTCATAGGATGTGTAAAAATTAAATGAATTCACACACCTGAAGTATTTAGACCAAAGCCTGGCATATGTTAAGTGCTCAAAAACAGTGCATGTGTCACAGAGGATTGACCTGCTGCATAGTTGTAATAATTAAAAATATATGGTTATGTATATTATAAAATGTCTTTCAATGGTGAATGTCAAGATTTAACAACCTTCACAGCAAGAACTATTTCCTTCTATCATAACTGAATCTCATAATCTCCATGGGCTGGAAAATAACACATTATATTGCTTTTATAATTATCCTTATAATAAATGGACAATATCAAATAATTTTCCTAAATTATTTGTTTTAGATGAAATGTTTTCAGCTCCTAAATTGATTTCAGATGTTTTGGATTTCCTAACAGAAAGCATTTACTTTATTCCCTTTAAAACTAGTCTATGTTAATCTCAAAATTTGGAAATCAAATTGTAGTAAAAATTTAAATAATCTAGCATTTTGAAATGCAAAATAATTACTCATTGAACAAAGTTTTAAAAAATCAAGAAATGCAGATGGCTCAAGTCACTAGCCATACAAGAACATTATGAGGCATTTTGGCAGCAGATACTGGGGAAACTATGACTTTGACCAGCATATACCCTTTGAATAGAATAGGAGAAAAAATAAAAGACTACAGTAAATTTAACTGGTCTCAAAACTATTGATTTTGTAATAGAGTTTTTAAATTTTTCAAAGACCAAAGTCATTACTTCAGAAATAATGAACCATCAATATTCCACCAAACAGCTTCTAGCAGATATAAAAGGAGATGTAATTGGAAGGAAATCAACTTCAGCTACTCCAGTGAAAACTTTGCATAAATATGTTGTTAAAAATGGTCTTGGTGGTTATGGACCTGTAGTTTATGTTGCTTTCATGGAGTACACTATGGATTTATTAATGGAACTACAGGTCTATGGTAACTATAAGTTAAATATTTAGGTGAATATATAAATTGTCATTATTTTAAATACAGAAAAATTTGTAAATATTCTAAATAATGAAACAATTTAATTTACAATATATGTACAAGGTTTAGCAAGCAACAAAACTCCAGATTAAAGCAAAAATACAGTAGTGATTTTTAAAAATAGTACAATGGTAAAAGTAAGATATGTGTGTATCTGAAAGTTTAGAAAATTGTATAAGCCAGTCAGGACATTTCTTATGGGAATGCAGCAAGACTAAAGAGCTTCTGCACAGCAAAAGAAACCACCATCAGAGTGAACAGGCAACCTACAGCATGGGAGAAAATTTTTGCAATCTACTCATCCGACAAAGAGCTAATATCCAGAATCTACAAAGAACTTAAACAAATTTACAAGAAAAGAAACAAACAACCCCATCAAAAAGTGGGCAAAGGATATGAACAGACACTTCTCAAAGGAAGACATTTATGCAGCCAACAGACACATGAAAAAATGCTCATCACCGCTGGTCATCAGAGAATGCAAATCAAAACCACAATGAGATACCATCTCATGCCAGTTAGAATGGCAATCATTAAAAAGTCAGGAAACAACAGATGCTGGAGAGGATGTGGAGAAATAGAAACACTTTTACACTGTTGGTGGGACTGTAAACTAGTTCAACCATTGTGGAAGCCAGTGTGGCGATTCCTCAAGGATCTAGAACTAGAAATACCATTTGACCCAGCGATCCCATTACTAGGTACATACCCAAAGGATTATAAATCATGATACTATGACACATGCACATGTATGTTTATTGCGGCGCTATTCACAATAGCAAAGACTTGGAACCAACCCAAATGTCCATCAATGATAGAGTGAATTAAGAAAATGTGGCACATATACACCATGGAATACTATGCAGCCATAAAACAGGATAAGTTCATGTCCTTTGCAGGGACATCGATGAATGGAAACCATCATTCTCAGCAAATTAACACAAGAACAGAAAACCAAACACCGCATGTTCTCACTCATAGGTGGGAATTGAACACTTGGACACAGGGCAGGGAACATCACACATCAGGGTCTGTTGTGGGGTGTGGGGCTGGGGGAGGGATAGCAGTAGGAGAAATACCTAATGTAAATGATGAGTTTATGGGTTCAGCAAACCAAAATGGCACATGTATACCTATGTAACAAACCTGCTCATTGTACACATGTGCCCTAGAACTTAAAGTATAATAAAAGAGAGAAAAAAAAGAAATTTTATTATATTTAAATCATTACAACACCTGCTTTATGTGTGGTATAAGTTTACTTCTTGACTTCTTCCAATATCAATATTTTGTTCTTGAAAGAAATCAAACATGGGTAGTATTAATAGTCTAGGCTATACTGGCAGGAAGAAGCCATCTCATTTTCATAGCCTATGATATAACAATGTGAATCCTGCAAATAGGAATATATAAATAAATAGAAAGATTTATAATTTTAAGTGTCAAAAAGAGAAAAGTGGAGAATTTGTGAACAACCATATATCCATTTAAAGCTTTAGTGACTGCATAAGGAATAAATGTACAGTTATAATACAGGATTTAGTAAACAACACAAATTGTGTTTTTATTTGGTTATGATTAATATTGACAGTTTTTTACTATATGAAGAACTGACAGGTGCCCAGAAAAATATCCTCATAATAAAACAAAATATCAGAAGGACCTACCCAGTATTTGAAGGTCAAATAATAAGTCTTAACTTAAATGATTTTAACAATTTGCGATTTTATTCCTCTGTTCTTTCACAAGATCGCAGATTCAGAATTTGTGTGTGTTTTTTTTTCTTTCAAACACTAGGGAGTTATTTCCTAAATAATATTTTAAATGTGCACTTTTAAAGAAGTAATTGTGCTTGAAAAGGAAAATAAAAACATATGCTTTGCTGTTGTTAAATGAACTTCCTTCTAATCAACTTTTAACAGTGATTCCCATAGAATAAACTCACATAAAAATTATTTGAGCTTTATGAGTAAAATTTATTCCTAGACTAAAACATATTTCACAGGGAAGCAAAATATAAGACAGAATACGACATTGAGTAAGAAAATTTACTACTCTAGTGTTTTATGTATCTCCTCCATTCTCCCTCTGCATGTCTATAGATTGTTTTCTGCTAGTTTATTTGGTTATTGGGTGGTCATTCTAGGACATCACACATTTATATTTCTGAAAAAAACTAATATTAGAGAAAGATTTAGGTATATAAAACATTTTTTTCTCAATTAATAACTTTGTACACATTTAGATAGAAAAACAACTGTTTGTTTTCTGAAATACAAAATAACATTATAGTTGAGAATCTGCTTGCATTAAATTGTATCACTTCACAATGTGTTAAGAGAAGCTTTAGGATTTGTAATAGTATGGGAATCCCTTACAGAGAGTAAAAGTGGGAATTACAAATGGTAACCAATCACCCACATTTAGAAAACAAGAGTAGAGTTTAAGCAGTAAAAAGAAAAGATAGCTATATTTTTAGATTTGTCTTTTATCCCTCTATCTATCCTCTGTTGAAGTTCCCTCTTTAATACAATCCGAAAAAAACCACATGTGGATATAATAAAAGACATGATAAATGAGCAGGTAAAGGTATTAACACTCTCCAAGAAAAGGGCTTGGATACATCAGAGAACAGTCCATTTTGTAGTTAGCTAGGTGACCTATTGTATTATTTTTTGTTTCTAATTTGGTCTTGAGATCTTCATAACAAGAGTGTCTACAAACTCTAGACTTAACTTATGGGACTCCAGGGCACTCATCAAGCAGGTATCCTGCAAGAAGTTCTAACTGGTGGGTTTAGAGCAAGCAGGTTCCATGGAATCACACTGTGACTGCGAGGTAGTAACTTTGGCATACCTGCACAATCCATATGGGGTAAAGGAGTCAGTGGGGTGAGTCAAATAAGTTGTATTTAACTGTTCCACAGGGATGTGGGACACCAGGAGGTGGTTGTACAAGGCAAATATCTGGGTCGACTACACTGAGGAACTGGGAGGAGGTGGAGAACTAGAAAGTTTGTCAAGGGCAATTAAGCTTTCTGGTATGAGAAAGCCCAACTTTTATTCAAAATGGATGCTGAAGCAAAACAAAATTATAGGACTTAATTACTGCTATAATAAAGATAAACTGCATCTATAGCCAGTCCTTATTTTCGGGGAAGCAGAGGCGGTGTGGAAGGAGAGGGCATAAGGACTGAATAAAGAGTGATTTTAAAGAGAACATCCACAGAGCTTGAGGGTAAAAAATTTGCTTCAGAAATTGAACCCTGATTGAGAGAATGTTAATGCCTTTTGTTGAATCAATGAACTTGGGAAATAGGCCAATATTTTTAAGAGAGGTGAGCAGGTTATGAACCTCATTGTAGGTAAATTGAATGAGGTGGTAATTAAACTTCCACATGATAATACTGTCAACATGTAGAGATATGAAACTAGAGTTAAAACTAGAGATGGTACAACCAAACATATGAGGTGTCCACATAGAGGTAGTAGTTGAAGCTACAATATATGATCATTTTATCCACCCCCAAAATGGAGATTAGTAGAACCAAATGAATTATATACCAAATATATTTGCTAAGAAGGAGTTATGAATTAATGTTTGGGAAATTGCTATTTATATTTATTTACTTTTACCATGAGTATATATTGATAGGGAGTGATCGAATGATAAAATTAAACATGACTTAATTTCTAGATTTCAGAGAATGTAAGAAAATGCCTGGATGTCCAGGCAGAAGTTTGCTGCAGGGATCTCTTTTAGGGCAGTGCAAAAGGGAAATGTGGGGTGGGAGCTCCCACACAAAGTACCCACTAGGCAGCACTGCCTAGTGGAGCTGTTAGAAGAGGGACACCATATGCCAGACCCCAGAATGGTAGATCCATTGACAGCTTGCACCATGTGCCTGGAAAAGCCACAGACACTGAAAGCCAGCCTGTGAAAGCAGCCAGAAGCAGGGGGGATGTACTTTGCAAGGTCACAGGGATGAAGGTGCCCAAGGCCATGGGAACCCACCTCTTACATCAGTTTGACCTGGATGTGAGACATGGAGCCAAAGGAGATCATTTTGGAGCTTTAAGATTTGACTGCCCCACTGGATTTCAGACTTGCATGGGGCATGTAGCCCCTTCATTTTGGCCAATTTCTTCTATTTTGAATGAGTGCATTTACCCAATACCTGTACTCCCATTGCATTTAGAAAGTAATACTCAGAAGGGACTTGGCTTGTCTCAGATGAGACTTTGGACTGTGGAGTTTTGAGTTAATGCTGAAATGAGTTAAGACTTTGGGGGACTGTTGGGAAGGCATCATTGGTTTTTAAATGTGAGGGCATAAGATTTGGGAGGGGTTGGGGGCAGAATGATAGGGTTTGGCTGTGTCCCCACCCAAATTTCATGTAAAATTGTAGCTCCTATAATTCCCACGTCCTGGGAGGGACCCAGTGGGAGGTAATCGAATCATGTGCGTGGATATTTCCCATGCTGTTCTTGTGATAGTAAATAAGTCTCCCAAGAGCTGAATGTTTTATAAAGGGGAGTTCCCCTACACAAGCTCTTTTTGCCTGCCACCATGTAAGACATGACATTGCTCCTGCTTTATTTTCCACCATGATTGTGGGGCCTCCCCAGCCATGTGGAACTGTGAATCCATTAAACCTCTTTCCTTTATAAATTACCTAGTCTCAGGTATGTCTTTATGAGCAGTGTAAGAACAGACTAGTACACCCTTGATCCAGTTTAATATCTTTATTTTATAGTTGCAGATACTGAGTCAAAAAAGAGAAATTTACCTACATAAAGTCATAAATATATTAGATGAATTTAATGGGACAAATAAGAATTATAAGACTATGTTCGAGATGGTTCAAGGCTATTTTCCTAAGTATCTCTACATCTGTGTTCACACATGCAAGAGTGGTGGAGAGTATAAAATCTTGAAACAGATCTACTGTGTTCAAATCCAGGATCCATGACTTTGTCAGACAGGGTTCTATTAGAAAACAAAACCAAGGTTAGATTGAAAGATATGGATGATAGGTAGGAATAGATAATAGAGAGAGAGATCAATAGATAGATAGACAGTTGGTGGATCTGTTAAAGTATTAATTTTACAATTGTGGGAGCAGGCTATTCTTGCAGCTGATGCAAGAGCTTGAATCCACAGGATAAGCAGCAGGGAAAGAAAGATAGACGTAAGAAAGATAGATGTCCCAAGAAAAAATTGGGACAGTATGAGGGCAGACTGAAACCCATGTAAGTCCTCATTGTCTCTGACCTTGATAATGTAGATGTCACACAGAAGCCAGGGCTCTTTGTCATGGAGATAAACACATCACATAGGTTAGGATTTGGAAAAGTCAAAGGAAAATCCAGGAAATGCTGGAGCCCTTACAGGCTAACTACTGCTTCATGCTAACAAAGTGAGTTTGCAGATCAGCAATAATATGTGTAAGAGACAAAACAGCTGCTATTTCCCATCCTTTTTCTAAATCTCTAAAGAATCTCACTTGTGGTCCACTCCATCCAGCAACATAGAGCAAATAAATTTATTAGAAATAGAATTCAACCTAGCCAAGTTGGCACATTAGAAAGCCACCACAAAGACTTATAAGCTATGGGTTTTACAGCAAATTAATTAATTTTAATATCCTAATCCTTAAAATATTAATAGTAATGATATCAATCACATAGGGTTGTTACAAATGATCAAATGAAATAAGTATGTAAAGAGTATAACACACACGGTCCCTAGAATATTGTTTATACTACATACATATTAACGTAGAGGGTCACAAATTTACTATTACCTAAAAATTTATCTTTACACTTTCTCTGTAATCAACTCTAATTTCACTTTCTGCTCGCATAGACGAATACCCTGGTTTTTAGCTAAAATTTTATAGTTAGAAAGACAAAAAGAAAAACATATTAATCCTTTTCAAATTATTACCTTCTTATTTTATTTACTTTTTATTAATCATCATTTTATATTACTGCTCTTGCTGTGTGTTATTATGTTGTCATTGTTCTTGTTATTGCCTGAAATGTCTTCTCTGTTTTTCTGTATTCTCAAAACCTTCCCATTTTTTACATCATCTCTTTCTACTTCTAATGCAGCTTTTCTTCACTGAACTTCCACTTTTCTGAACTCATAATCTATATTTATAATGCTTGTCATGCATTATTTCTCCTATACAAATTAGCACTTAGTTGTACACATTCATATATAATTAATTAAGTGACTTGTATATATTATTGTTGGATCTTTAACTGAGTTCTAAGTTTCTGGAGGGCAGAAGAAAGTCTAAGATTGCTAGTATTTGGGAGGAGGGGCCAAGATGGCCTACTAAAACAGCCGCCATCTGAGGCTCCCACCAAGAAGAAGAAAAAGGTGAGTGAATCATGCATCGTCAATTGAGGTATTCAGGTTCTATCATTGGGACTGACTAGGCAGTTGGTGCAACCAATGGAGAGTAAGGAAAAGCAGGGTGGTACTACGGCTCACCTGGGAACCACACGGGAAAAGGGGAACTCCCACCCCAGCCAAGGGAGGCAATGAGTGATCATGCTACCCTATCTTGGAAACCACGCTTTTTTCACAGATTTGTGCAACCCATGGAACAGGAGATCCCTCTCGTGAGCCCACGCCACCAGGGCTTTGGGTCCCAAGCACAGAGTGGCGCAGATTCTCAGCAGCCACTTGGCTGGAGACTGCCTAAGACTGCTGAGTTCCTGGGGGGAAGGGTGGCCATTATCGCTGCAGCTGCCTGCTGCCTAAGAAGACTGAGGTTCCAGAGAGAGCAGAGGCAGCCATTGCTGCAGTTCCAGTCTGCCACTATTCTCCTGCTGGTGCCAGGGAGATTGGACAGTTTGGACCCAGGAGGAATTCCTCACAGTGTAGCACAGCAGCTGTGGAAGATTGTGACAAGACTGCCTCTTTAGGCCAGACAGTGACCAATCCCTCCTCACTGGGCGGGGCCTCCCTGCAGGAATTTCAGCAAACTCCAGTCAGGGGGTTTAGGGACAGAACTCTCATCTCCCTAGGACTGAGCCCCTGCGGGGAGTGGTGGCTGTGGTCTCCATGGATCAGCAGAGTTAGTCTTTCCTCCTGCTGGCTCTGAGGAATCCCGGCAGTCCAGACAAGTGGGAATCTGCTTGGGGTGCACAGTGCACCCCCTCCACCAAGGAACAGCCAGAGTGCTTCATTAAGCAGGTCCTGAATCCTGTGCCTCCTGACTCAGTGACCCCCAATAAGAGTCATCAAACATATTATACAGGAGAGTTCCACTGGCATCAGATCGGTGCCCTTCTGGGACACAAATCCAACAGGAAGCAGAAGGCAGCCATCTTTGCTGATCTGCACCCTCCACGGGTGACACCTACAGGTGCAGGAGGGACCCAGACTATAGGGTCTGTAGTGGACCCCCAACAAACCACAGCAGCCCTATGGAAAACTGGCGTGACCATTAAAAGAAAAACAAACAAACAGAAAGCAACAACAATAGCATCAACAGAAAAGTCTCCACCCAAAACCCTATCTAAAGGTCAGCAGCCTCAATCACCAAAGCTACATAAACTCATGACTATGAAAAACAATGAATGAGAAAACATTGCAAACTCAAAAATCCAGAGTCTCTCTTACAAATGATCGCAGCACCTCTCCGCAAGGGCACAGAACTGGGCAGATGCTGAGACGGATGAATTGACAGAAGTAGGATTCAGAAGGTGGGTAGTAACAAACTTCACTGAGCTAAAGGAGTGTGTTATAACCCAATGCAAAGAAGCCAAGAACCATGATAAAACATTACAGGAGCTGTTAACCAGAATAACCAGTTTAGAGAGGACAACAAATGACCTGATAAAGCTGAAAAACACAACACAAGAACTTCACAATGCAACTACAAGTATCAATAACCAGATAGAACCAGCAGAGGAAAGAATTTCAGAGTTTGAAGACTATCTTGCTGAAATAAGACAGGCAGACAGATTAGAGAAGAATGAAAAGGGGTGAACAAAACCTTCAAGAACTATGAGATTATGTAAAAAAACTGAACCTATAAATGATTGGGGTACCTGAAAAAGATGTGAAGAACAGAACTAAGTTGAAAAACATAATTTAGGATATCATACAGTAGAACTTCCTCAACCTAATAAGACAGGCCAACATTCAAATTCAGGAAATCCAGAGAACCCCAATAAGATACTCCATGAGAAGATCAACCCCAAGACACATAATCATCAGATTCTCCAAGGTCAAAATTAATAAAAAAATGTTAAGGGCAGCCAGAGAGAAAGGCCAGATCACCTACGAAGGAAAACCCATAAGACCAACACCAGAACTCTCAGCAGAAACCCTACAACCAGAAGAGATTGGAGGCCAGTAATCCACGTTCTTAAAAGAATTTCCAATTCAGAATTTCATATCCTGCCAAACTAAGATTCATATGTGAAAAAGAAATAAAATTCTTTTTGGAAAAGCAAATATGAGGGAATTTGTCACCACCAGGCCTGCCTTGCAAGAGCTCCTGAAGAAAGCACTAAATATTGAAAGGAAAATCCATTACCAGCCAATGCAAAAACACACTGAACTAAAAAGACCAATGGCACTATGAAACAACTATATTAAAAAGTGCAAAATAACCAACTAGCATCATGATGACAGGATCAAATTCACATATGACTATCTTAACCTTAAATGTAAGTGGGCTAAATGACCCAGTTAAAAACACAGAATGGCAAGATGGCAAGATGTATGGAGTCAAAACCCATTAGTGTGCTGTATTCAACAGACATATCTCATGTACAAAGACACATATAAGCTCAAAATAGAGGGATGGGGGAAATTTACCAAGCAAATGGAAAGCAGAAAGAGCAGTGGTTGCAATCCTAGCTTCTGAAAAAACAGACTTTAAACTAACAAAGATCAGAAAAGACAAAGAAGGGCATTACATAATGGTAAAGGGATCCATACAACAAGAAGAGCTAACTATCCTAAATATATATGCACCAGTATAAGAGCACCCAGATTCTCAAAACAAGTTCTTAGAGACCTACAAAAAGACTTAGATTCCCACACAATAATATTAGGAGACTTTAACACCCCACTGTCAATAGCAGATAATTGAGATAAAAAATATACAAGAATATTCAGGTCTTGACTTCAAGTGGACCTGACAGATATCCACAGAACTCTCCACACAAAAACAACAGAATATACATTATTCTCCATGCCACATGGTACTTACACTAAAATCAATCACATAATGGGAAGTAAAACACTCCTGAGCAAAAGAAAAAGATCTGAAATCATAACCAACAGTCTCTCTCAGAAAATAGTGCAATCAAATTAGAACTCCAGATTAAGAAACTCACTCAAAACCATACAACTACGTGGAAATTGAACAACCTGCTCCTAAGTGAGTCCTGGGTAAATAATGAAATTAAGGCAGAAATCAAGAAGCTATTTGAAACCAATAAGAACAAAAAGTCAACACACCAGAATCTCTAGGACACAGCTAAAGCAGTGTTAAGAGGAAATTTATAGCACTAAATGCCCAATCAAAAAGCTAGAAAGACCTCACTCAAATCCACCCCCTACATCACAATTAATAGAACTAGAGAACTAAGAGAGAAAAAAAAAAAACAACGCGAGCAGAAGATAAAAAATAACCAAGATCAAAGCAGAACTGAAGGAGATAGAGACAAAAAAAAAATCTTCAAAAAAAAATCAATGAATGCAGGAGCTGGTTTTTGAAAAAATTAATGAACTAGATAGACCACTAGCTAGACAAATAAAGAAGAAAAGAGAGAAGAATCAAACAGACAAAAAAATTATAAAGGGGATATCACCACTGCCCCACAGAAATACAAAGTGCAATTAGATAATATTATAAACATTTCCATGCAAACAAACTAGAAAATCCAGAAGTAAATGGATAAATGCCTAGACACACACAACCTCCCAAGACAGAACCAGGAAGAAGTTGAATCTCTGAATAGACCAATAACAAGCTCTGAAATTGAAGCAATAATAAATAGCCTACCAACTAAAAAAAGCCCAGGAACAGAGAGATTTACAGCCGAATTTTACCAGAGATACAAAGAGAAATTGGTACCATTCTTTCTAAAACTATTCCAAACAATTGAAAAGGATGGATTTCTCCCTAACTTATTTTAAGAGGCCAGATTCATCCTGATACCAAAACCTGGCAGAGATACCATAAGAAAACAAAACTTCAGGCCAACAATCCTGATGAACATCGATGCAAAAATTATTAATAAAATACTCACAAACTGAATGCAGCAGCACATCAAAAAGTTTATCCACCGCAAGCAAGTTGGCTTCATTCTCATGATGCAAGACTGGCACAACATACACAAATCAATAAATGTAATTCACCAAATAAACAGATCTAAAGACACAAACCACGTGATTATCTCAGTAGATTCAAAAAGGGCTTTTGATATAATTTAACATCCCTTCATGTTAAAAATTCTGTATAAACTAGGTATTGATGGTACATGCCTCAAAATAATAAGAGCAATTTTTGGCAAACCCACAACCAATATCATGCTGAATGGGCAAAAGCTGGAACCATTCCCTTTGAAAACCGGCACAAGACAAGGATGCCCTCTGTCACCACTCCTATTCAACATAGTATTGAAAATTCTGGGCAGGGCAATCAGGCAAGAGAAAGAAATAAATGTTCAAATAGTAAGAGAGGAAGTCAAACTGTCTCTGCAGATGACATGATCCTTTATTTAGAAAATCCTATAGTCTCAGCCCAAAAGCTTCTTAAGCTGCTAAGCAACTTCAGCAGTATCAGGATACAAAATCAATGTGCAAAAATCACAAGCATTCCTATACTCCAATGATAGACAAGCAAAGAGTCAAATCATAAAGGAACTCCCATTCCAACTATTAAAAAGAGAATAAAAAATCTAGGAATACAGCTGACAGGGAAAGTTAAAGACCTGTTAAAAGAGAACTAGAAACCACTTCTCGAGGAAATTAGAGAAGACACAAACAAATGGAAAAACAGTCCATGCTCATAGATAGGAAGAATCAATATTGTGAAAATGGCTATACTGCCCAAGTAATTTATAGATTCAAAGCTATTCTCATTAAACTACCATTGACATTCTTCACAAAATTAGAAAAAAGTACTTTAAAGTTTATATTGAACCAAAAAGGAGTCCATGTAAGTGAAGACAATCCTAAGCAAAAAGAATCAACCTAGAGACACCACGCTACTCAACTTCAAACTATACTACAAGGCTACAGTAACCAAAACAGCATGGTACTTTTGCACCATGTACAGGTACAAAAAAGACACATAGACCAATGAAACAGAATACAGAACTCAGAAATAAGACCACACATCTACAACCTCTGATCTTCGAGAAACCTGACAAAAACAAGCAATGGGGAAAGGATTCCCTATTTAATAAATGGTGGTGGGAAAATTGGCTAGCCTTATGCAGAAAATAGAAACTGGACCCCTTCCTTATACCTTGTAAAAAATAAATCAAGGTGGATTAAAGACTTATATGTAAAACCCAAAACTATAAAAACCCTAGACAAAAATCTAGGCAATAGCATTTAGGACATAGGTACAAGCAAACATTTCACCAAAAAAACGTCAAAAGCAATTGCAACAAAAGCAAAAAATGGCAAATGGCATCTAATTAAACTAATGAGCTTCTACAGAGCAAAAGAAACTGCCATCAGAGTGAACAGACAACCTACAGAATGGGAGAAAGTTTTTGCAATGTATCCATCTGACAAAGGTCTAATATCCACAATCTGCAAAGACCTTAAACAAATTTACAAGAAGAAAACAAGCAACCCCATTAAAAAGTGGGCAAAGAACACGAACAAACACTTCTCAAAAGAAGACATTTATGTAGCCAACAAACGTATCAAAAAAGCTCAACATCTGTGATCATTAGAGAAATGCAAATCAAAACTACAATGTGATACCATCTCACACCAGTCAGAATGGCAATCACTAAAAAGTCAAGAAACAAACAGATGCTGGCAAGTCTATGGAGAAATAGGAAGACTTTGACACTGTTGGTGGGAATGTAAATTATTTAAACCATTGTGGTAGACACCGTGGCAATTCCTCAAAGTCCTAGAACTAGAAATACCATTTGACCCAGCAACCCCATTACTGGGTATATTGTCAAAGGTATATAAATCATTCTATTATAAAGATACATGCATGCATATCTTCATTGCAGCATTAATCCCAATAGAAAAGACATGGAATCAACCCAAATGCCCATCAGTGATAGAATGGATAATGAAAATGTGGTACATATTCACAATGGAATACTATGCAGCCATAAAGAGAAACAACATCATACTTTTTGCAGGGACATAGATGGAGCTGGAAGCCATAATTGTCAGCAAACTAACACAGGAGCACAAAACCAAACACCACATGTTCTCACTTATAAGTGGAAGCTGAACAATGAGAACAGATGGACACAGTTAGGGGCGTAACACACTCACACTGGGGCCTGTTGGAGGCGGGGGGAGGGAGAGCATCAGGATAAATAGCTAATGCATATGGAGCTTAATGCCTAGATGATGGGTTGATAGGTGCAGCAAACCACAATGGCACATGTTTACCTATGTAAAAAACCTGCACGTCCTGCATATGTATCCCAGAACTTACAATAAAATAAAATTAAATAAAAAAATAAAAAAATTGCAGGTGTTTTTATTCAATAATTGAGGAATGTTAATTTGCTGAGTGGGGTGAAAATATTTTCTGATAGAGCAGGCAGTAGAATGAAAATTCAGAATATGACAAAAACAATTTCTTAATATTCTAACTGGAATTCAAGTGTTATAATGAATTGTGAAAATGAACAATATAATCAGAATATCATGCCTCTGTGAGATAAAGCTGTTCATTTAATAGAAAACAAGAAGCTTCTAAGTAACACATTCTAAGGCAACAACCATGTATAGGTCAAAAGTGCCAGAAGAAGACTAATATTTTGTTGTTATTTAGAAATGCTTTAAAAAGGTTAGGTTGCATTTAAATATTTCATTTTAATTGGCTCTGAAAATATACATATTATATTATATAATAACGTAACAATTTATTTGGGGGTTGAAGTTTTATAGAAGAGATAAGACAAAATACAAATATTTAAAATAAATGGTTAGTTTTTAAAGGTCTGAGATGTGGCAGAGCAAGTAAACTGCTGCACTAGGAAAATTCATAATGCTCTCGATGCCGCTTAAACTTTGTATCTCTTAAATCACAAACTTTTGGTTTCATAGATATATATAACTCGCGGTTCACGTAGTGTAAATTACTATATTTAATTATCTCTAAAACAATATTGACTATAATATGCACCACCATTTTATGTACTGCTAAGAATAAGAAAGCATTGCCAATTATAATTGGAATCTCATTGACTGTAAATATATTCCTATTTCGGAGATAATAAAAGTATAAAAAACGTGTCTTGGAATCAATAAAATAAGGTATGTTTCAACCTCTTACTTTAATTTAAAGGAAATCAAAATTTCTGTTACTTAGCACTCTCAATTATTCACATTACTCTTTAAACTCTTCCAGCAATAGAAGAATCTTATGACTTCCACAGACTTATAGTAAAATATACAGTGATTAATATTTTACTTTAAATTCCTTTCTTTTTCTGACTATAAACTCAGATATCTCTATTTTTTCATTTCTATTCAGAAGACACTTTTGAAGTGTGGTCTAAGAAGAAGGAGAATAATTGTTCAATCTCACTCCTGACAGTGACTTCCTCTAAGGGCAATTATGCTATGGCTCATCACTTAATCTTCATGTTGCAGATTCTCTCTGTAAGAATAAAACAATACATGTCATTATAATCTACCCATTACTTTGAGAAGGAATAAACAATCTCTACTTATTTTTCTAATTATGATATTTATAATTCCAAAAATATGGCATTTAAGCAGGGTGAAATCCCTTTTAATGGTGAATTGTATCAGACCCTGAAGGTATCACAAAACAGGGGTTGAAAGTGTACAGCACCTGATTCCAGCATAAACATGTATTTGGCTATGTTTGAGCATACTCACCTTCCATCAAATTTCAATGTACCTCCATCTACGCGATGCTTTTAAAGCTGAAAAATTATGCACCTATAAATGAAGCTGTCATTTTAAAAATTTAAGCACATAATGGCTATAAAACACTTTCTTTGGGAGGATTAAAAACTTCATCAATTTTCTTAGCTCTTTATTAATCAAATGTTTCTTATTTTTTGAAAAAATATTTCTGTGACCATGGCTCGTATTGAGCAGAAGTAAGATTTCAAGATACCCAACAAACCAGTTCCCATTCTCCTTCTTGCTAAAAATAAAATTTTGAAAACTATTTTTTCTAGACATTCCCTCACTACCTTCCATAATTTATCTAACTGTATCATTACCAGAAATCAATGATTCATTCTTTTGACAAGCCCATTTCATTTTTTACATAATTACTTTACCATATCATTATAAAAAGTTACTTTTTATTTATTTTTGAGACCGAGTCTCGCTCTGTCGCCCAGGCTGGAGTGCAGTGGTGCGATCTCACTGCAATCTCCGCCTCCCTGGTTCAAGCAATTCTCCTGCCTCGGCCTCCTGAGTAGCTGGGATCACAGGCTCCCACCACCACACCCGGCTAATTTTTTGTATTTTTAGTAGAGACAGGGTTTTACCTTGTTGGCTAGCCTGGTCTCGAACCCCTGACCTCAGGTGATCCGCCCTCTTCACCCTCCCAAAGTGCTGGGATTACAGGCGTGAGCCCCCATGCCCGGCCACTTTTTTTTTTTTCTTAATAGGTTGGCAACTTTATTTGAATAAAAGGCTTTCACATTTAAATCACATAGCCTTTTCCAGATTCAAAAATGTGTGAAATCCCCTGTGAAACTTCTGTCTTTTGGAGCACGAACGCTTAAGATGGTTATAAAATATAAATATGTGTTTTATGTATATAAACAAAAGCATAAAACTGTATTCAAGGATAGTGTAAAAAGTTGATAGATACTAAAGAAAACATACAAAAATGAACCCTAGGTAGTAAAAACTTTGAAGAAGAAAAAAATTGCAGCATTTCCATCCATAAATTGTTCATTCACCAAAATTTTTTAGAGACTATTAAAGGGCTTCTGGTTCAATAAGCGGACTTGTGTTTAAATCTTTTTATCCTAAATTAGAAATACAATAAAGAATAGAGTTTCTTCTGTACAAAAAAGGGAAGACAGTTTTACTAACAGATCAGATACATAAAAAAAAAAAATGAAAGAATTCCAGAGTGCCTTCATGATCAGTGGCAGATATGACAGAGATCAATAATAAAAAGTGGTGTTGAAATCTGGTGAATTGATTGAAACTGCATATGGAACAGCTGAGGCAGCCTATGACTCCATAGTTTTCTCTAAATGTGCAGAGAACTGTTAGCCTAGTTATCCCCAGGTAAAAAAGCATAGCATTTCTTTCTAAAAAAAATTGAACTATCTGGGGAAAACAATAGCTTCATTTATGGGTGTTGAAAATTCAGAATAAAATTCTTCTCATTCTGGCTGGCATGCAAGTTTTGAGGGGAGAGGGAGTGTTGGTGAGGCCACAGCCTGACATCCAGCTTCCCACTTTCTCATAGTTAATTAAAATATAAGACCTTATATACTATACTCATTAAATAAGCTACCAGTTTGATGTCATGCTCATATGAAAAATCAGACTTAAAAAAGAATAGAGGGAAACCATACCAGCTACCTAGAATTTTCTTCTAAATATAAACAGACAATCACAGATCACTAGGAATAAAAAACAAACCTTCTGCATGAAAATAAAAGTTGAAATAATTAAAAAGTATACTCAGGCGAAACAGAAAATGTAAGAAAACTTTAATAAAAAAGTCCATATGGAGAGCATTTTGATAAGAATTTTAAATGTTGTTTAAAAATGTCAGAAATTAGAAAAATATTTTACCTCTTACAAATAGAATTTCCAGAATAAAACTTTAATATAAAAGATGAAAAATAAGGTTGTGGGAAAAATAACGTTGTGGGAATCCCTTAAAATGTTAAGCATAAGGGCAAAGAGACAGAAAATATGAGAGAAAAGACTCATATATGATAACTGCATGAAGTCCAACATTTGATCAGTAAGAGTCACAGGACAGAGAAAAGGGAATACGTTTAAATAAAACAACATAAGATAATAAACCACATACCAAAAAAAAAAAAAACCTACTGCAGAGATGGAAAAATCTGAGCACAGAGCATATCAATTTTTTTATTAGTTTTTGAATTTTTAAAAAATTAATAATTTTTATTTTAAAATTTTACATTCAGGGAGTACATTTGCATGTTCCTTACATGGATATATTGCATAATGGTGGATATTGGGTTTCTAGCATACCAGTCACCAAAATAATAAACATTGTATTCAGTAGGTATGCTTTTAACACTCACCCCTCTCCTCCCCCATTTTGTAGTCCCCAGTATCTATCCCATTTTGTTTTAAATTGAGCTTATTTTGATCTTCCCTCTTCTTTTCTTGGTTAATCTTGCTAATGGTATAACAATTTTATTTATTTTTTCCAAGAACCATCTTTTTCTTTCATCTATCTTTTGTATTTGTTTGTTTGTTTCAATTTCATTTAGTTCTTCTCTGATTTTGGTGATTTCTTTTCTTCTGCTGGGTCTGGGTTTGGTTTGTTCTTGTTTCTCTAGTTCCTTGAGGTATGACCTTAGATTGTCTATTTGTGCTCTTTCAGCTTTTTTGATGTAGGCATTTAATGCTGTAAACTGCCCTTTTAGCACTGACTTCTATATCTCAGAGGTTTTTATAGGTTGTGTCACTATTATAATTCAGTTCAAATAATTTTTTAATTTCCCTCTTGATTCCATAGTTAACCCAAAGATCATTCAGGAACAGGTTATTTAATTTCCATGTATTTACGTTGTTTTGAAGATTCCTTTTGAAATTGATCTCCAATTTCATTCCACTGTGGTCTGAGAGAGTACTTAATATAATTTCATTTTTTAAAATTTATTGTGACTTGTTTTGTGGTCTACCATATGGTCTGTCTTAGAGAAAGTTCCATACACTTACTTGTAGAATGTGTATTCTTCGGTTGGTGGGTGAAATGTTCTGTAAATATCTGTTAAGTCTATTTGTTCTAGGGAATAGTTTAAATCCATTGTTTTTTGTTAACTTTCTACCTTGATGACCTGTCTAATGCTGTTAGTGGGGTACTGAAGTCCTTCACTATTATTTTGTTGCTATCTAACTCATTTCTTATGTCTGGTAGTAATTGTTTATAAATTTGGGATCTCCAGTGTTAGGTACATATACATTTAGGATTGTAATATTTTCCTGTTGGACAAGGCCTTTTATCATTAAACAATGTCCCTCTTTTTTTTTTAAATGTGGTTTCTTTAAAGTTTTTCTGTCTGATATAAGAATAGCTACTCTTGCTCACTTTTGGTGTCCATTTGCATGGAATGTCTTTTTCCACCCCTTTATGTTAAGTTTATTTGTGTCCTTATGTGTTAGTGAATCTCTTGAAAGCAGAAGATACTTGGTTGGTGAATTCTTATCTATTCTGCCATTCTGTATCTTTTAAGTGGAGCATTTAGGCCATTTACATTCAAAGGCAGTATTGAGATGTTAGATACTATTCCATTCATCGTGCTATTTGTTGCCTGAATACCGTGGGTTTTTAAAAGTTTATTTATTGTATTTTTATTTTATAGATATTGTGAGATTAATGCTTTAAGGAGGTTCTGTTTTAATGTGTTTTTAGAATTTGTTTCAAGATTTAGATCTCCTCTTAGCAGTTCTTGCAGTGCTGGCTTGGTAGGGGCGAATTCTCTCAGCATTTGTTTGTCTAAAACAAACTGTGTCTTTCCTTCATTTATCAAGTTAGTTTCACTGGATACAAAATTCTTGGCTGATAATTGTTTTGTTTAAGGAGGTTGAAGATAGAACCGCAATCCCTTCTAGCTTGTAGGGTTTCTGCTGAGGAATCTGCTGTTAATCTGATAGGTTTTCCTTCATAGGTTACCTGGTGCTTTTGTTTTACACTCTTAAGATTCTCTCCTTCATCTTGACTTTAGATAACCTGATGATGTACCTAGATGATAACCTTTTTGCAATAAATTTTTCAGGTGTTCTTTGAGCTTCTTGTATTTGGATGTCTAGATCTCTAGCAAGGCCAGAGAAGATTTCCTCAATAATTCCCCCAAATACATTTTCCAAACTTCTATATTTCTCTTCTTCCTCAGGAACACCAATTATTCTTATGTTTGGTCATTTAACATAATCCCAAATTTCTTGGAGCCTTTGGCTACAAAAGGTATGAAATAACCACACAACAGTAGTGGGAGACTTTAATGCCCCACTGACAGTGTTAAACAAATCACCGAGGCATAAAACTACCAAAGGAACTTTAGATTCAAATAGGAAAGTAGATAAATTGAACCTAATAGAAATATACAGAACACACCACCCAACA
Organism: Homo sapiens; assembly: GCF_000001405.40. NCBI lineage: Eukaryota > Metazoa > Chordata > Mammalia > Primates > Hominidae > Homo > Homo sapiens. Next base: position 90,749,252 of record NC_000023.11, read on the forward strand.
ACCATAGAATATATTTTCTTCTCATCTGCACATGGAACATATTCTAAGACTAACCTCATGCTCTGTCATAAAGCAAACTTCAATAAATTTAAAAAAAACTGAAATTATACCAAGTATACTCTTGAACCACTGTGCAATAAAAATGGAAATCAATATCAATAAGATCTCTCAAAACTACATAAGTACATAGAAATTAAACTACTTACTCCTCAAAAACTCCTCGGTGAACAAAATTCATTAAGAAATAAAAAATATTCTATAAAATTAATGCAAATAGGGACACAATTGACTGAAATCTCTGGGATGTAGCCAAAGCAGTGTTAAGACAAAAGTTTACAGACTAAACACTTTCCTCAAGTAGTTGGAAAAGTTTCAAATTACCAGTGTAAGTTTGCACCTAAAGGAATTAGGAAAAAAAAGTACAAACCAACCCAAAGGTAGTAGAAAAAGAAACATTAAAATTAGAGAAAAACTGAATGAAATAGAGATGCCAAAATTCATACGAAAGATCATTGAAACCAATAGTTGGTTATTTGGAGAAATACACAAGATTATAGACCCATAACAAGATGAACAAAGAAAAAGAAAGACAAGATACAAAGCACAATCAGCATTGACAAAGGTAATATTACAACTGAGTTCACAGAAATGCAAAAGATCCTCAGAGACTGCTAGGAACAATTCTATGCACACAAATTGGAAAATCTAGAAGAGATGGATACATTCCTAGAACCACACACACTGCCAAGATTTTTTCGGGAAGAGATTGAAACCCTGAATAGAACAATGTAAACTTCTGAAATGCAAGCAGTAATAAAGAACTTATTAACCAAAACAACAACAACAACAACAACAAAAAAAACCCTGAACCAGATAGATTCACAGCTAAATTCTAACAGTAGAACAAAGAAAAATAGACACAAAACCTAGTGAAATAATTCCAAAACAAAATGAGGAGTAGGGGTTTTTCCTTAACTAATTCTGTGAAGCCAGCGTTATCCTGATACCAAAATATGACAGAGCCACTAAAATAAACAAAAGAACAAAACAAAACAACAAAAAAACTTCAGACCAATATCTGTCATTAACATAAATGCAAAAATATTTAAGAAAATACCAGCAAATGGAATACAGTAACCCATCAAAGAGTTTACATACCACAGGCAAGTAAGCTTTATTCTTGGGATGCAAGGCTAGTTCAATCTATGCAAATCAATAAATGTGATTCACCACATAAACAAAATTAAATATAAAAACCATATGATTATTTCAAAAGACAAAGAAACTTCTTTTGATAAAATTCAAAATCAATTCATGATAAAAACTCTCAACATATTAGGCATCAAAGGAACATATCTCAAAATAATGAGAGCCATCTATGACAAATACACAATTAACGTCACATTGAACGGACAAAAACTTGAACAATTTCCCTTAAGAACTGAAACAAGATAAGGATACTCACTTTTGCCACACCTATTCAACATAATACTAAAAGTCCTAGCCAGAACAATCAGGCAAGATAAATAAATGAAAGACATCCAAACTGGAAAATATGAAGTTAAACTATTTATCTGCAGATGATATAATTATATACCTAGAAAATCCTAAAGACTCTGCCAAAATATTCCTAAAATTGATAATTGACTTTAGTAAAATTTCAGGACACAAAATCAATGTACAAATCTAATTATCATTTTTGTACACCAAAAACATCCAGGCTGAGAGTGAAATCAAGAACACAATCTCACCTATGAAAGTGACAAAGAAAATTAAATACCTAGTAATATAGCAAACTAAGGAAGTTAAAGATCTCTACAAGGGAGCTACAAAACCCTGCTGAAAAAATCAGAGATGATACAACTAAATAGAGAAACATTCCATCCTCGTAGATTGAAGAATCAATATTATAAAAAATTGTCATATGGACCAAAGCAATTTACAGATTCAATGTTATTCCTACAAACCTACCAATGTCCTTCTTTAAGGAATTAGAGAAAACTGTTCTAAAATGCATATGAAACAAAAAATCCAAATAGACAAAAGAATCCTAAGTGAAATGAACAAAGTCAGAGGCATCACATTACCCAACTTTAAGTATTTTATAAAACCACAGTAACGAAAACAGCTTGGTACTGGTATAAAAGCAGACACATAGATGAATGGAAAAAAAAAAAGATAGAAACCTCAAAAATAAAGCTGCACACTTACAACCATCTGATCTTTGACAAGGCCAACAAAGATAAGTAATATGGAAATAACTCCCCATTCAATAAATGGTGCTGGGATAACAGGTTAGGAGATTGAAGCTCGACCCCTATTTTTATCATATACAAAATTTAACTCAATATGGAATAAAACTTTAAATGTAATACCTCCAAATACAAAAATCCTTAAAGACAAACTAGGAAATACTCTTGTCGACATCAGCCTTGGCAAATAATTTTTGGCTGTCCCCAAAAGCAATTGCAACAAGAATAAAAATAGACTGGGACTTAATTAAACTAAACAGCTTCTGCATAGCAAAAGAAACAACAGAGCAAACAGACAACCTACAGAATAAGAGAATATATTTATAAACTATGCATTTTACAAAGGCCTCACATCCATAATCTGCAGAGAACTTAAACAAATCAACAAGCAAAAACCAAATAACGACATTTAAAAATGGGCAAAAAACATGAGCAGACACTTTTCAATAGAAGACATGCAAGTGGCCAACAAATATATAAAAAAAGTTCAGCATCACTAATCATGATAGAAATGCAAGTCAAAACGACAATGAGATATTATCTGACACCAGTTAAAATAGCTATTACTAAAATGTTAAAAATCAACAGATACTGCCAAGGTTGTGAAGAAAATGGAATGCTTATACAATATTGGTGAAAATGCAAATGAGTCCAGCCACTTTGGAAAGCAATTTGGATATTTCTCCCAAAAATTAAAACAGAGCAACCATTTGATCCAGCAATCCCATTACTGAGTATATTTCCAAAAGAAAATAAATCTTTCTACCAAAATGACACATGCACTGATATGTTTATCACTACGCTATTCAGAATAGCAAAGACATGGAATCAATCCAGGTGTTCCTCAATGGTAGGTAAGATAGATAAAACTTGGTACATATAAACTGTGAAATACTATTCAGCCATAAAAATAGTGAAATCATGTTATGTGCAAGAACATGGATGGAGCTGGAAGCTATAACGCTAAGCAAAGTGATGTATGAACAGAAAACCAAAAACTCCCATGTCCTCACTTATAAATGGGAACTAAGCTTTGAGCACACATGAACATAAATGTAGGAACAATTAACACTGTGGACCATCTGGGGAAAACAAAGGCTTCATTTATGGGTGTTGAAAACTCAGAATAAAATTCTTCTCTTTCTGGCTGGCATGCAAGTTTTGAGGAGAGAGGGAGAGTTGGTGAGGCCACAGCCTGACATCCAGCTTCCCACTTTCTCATAGTTAATTAAAATATAAGACCTTAAATACTATACAGAAGTAGTAGTAGAAAGTGGAGGGAGGAGTCGTTTAAAAAATTACCAATTGGATGCTATGGCCTTAAGAGGGTGACAGGATCCATAATACAAATCTCTGCATAATTCAATATTCCTAAGTAACAAATCTGCACATGTACACCCTGTATCTAAAGTAAAAGTTGAAACAGAAACAAAAAGCACTTTGATAATTGCCAAAATGGAAGTTTGTATGTGGGATAGTAGCACTATAACTCAAAGCCACAGAGAAAAGGGAATACTTATACACTGTGAAACCTCGTATCTACTAAAAATACAAAAATTAGCCTAGTGTGGTGGTGGCCACCTGTGGTCTCAGCTACTCGGGAGGCTGAGGCAGGAGAATTGCTTGAACCCAGGAGGCGGAGGTTGCAGTGAGCCGAGATCATGCAGCTGCACTCCAGCCTGGGTGACAGAGTGAGACTCTGTCTCAAAACAAACAAATGAAAAAAAAAAATAGTAACAGAGAATAATGGCAACAAATGAAAAACAGTAACATATATGGTACTAATATGTATCTTTAGTTGGTTAATACACAACTATAGCAATGACCACTATGAATTTCAGTGGTCAAAAGGCACCAATTAAAAGATAGAGATTTTTAGAGTGGATCAAAAATAAGTCCAGACTATATGTTTTCTATGAGAAGCCCACATTAAATATAAAGACCCATAGAGAAAATGAATGGATGGAGAAAAATGTGCTATGCTAACACTAATCAAAGAATGGAGAAAAATACACTATGCTAACACTAATCAAAGGAAAGTAGGAGTAGCTACATTAATTTCCAACAGAGTATTTCCTTCAAATGAAGGAAAATTATTAGGGATAAAGAAGGGCACTGTATAATAAAGGTGTCAACTTTCCAAGGAGAAATAACAATTGTTAACATATATGCACCTCACAACAGAATGTCAAGTTAAGTGAGGCAAAAACTATTAGAACTGCAAGGAGAAATGGATAAATTCACTAAGATAGTTGGAGATTTCAACAAATCTCTATCAGAAATGAACAGATCCAGCAGGCACAAAATGATTAGAAACATAGTTGAACTCACAATACCATCATTCAACTGGAAATAATAGACATCTATAAACTACTTTATTTTAAAACAGAACACAATATTCTCAAGCTCACATGGAACATTCATCAAGATAGGGTACATTCTGGCCATAAAAGATATCTTAATACATTTAAAATATTATTTAAAATAATAGAAACCATACAATGGTTACTACAATAATAGTAAGAGCAGACAGAGATGTAATTGAAAAGAAGAAGTCAATAAAACGACAGACCAATGCCTCTCATAAACACACGTGCAAAAATTCTCAACAAAATACTAGCAAATTGAATCTAACTATATATAAAAATAGAAGTATGTACCACAATCAAGTGGGATTTATTTTCAGTTTAGCAAGGCTGGTTCAACATCTGAAAATCAATTAATGTAATCTATCATATGAACAGGCTAAAAAATAAAATCACATGGAAATACATATAGATTCAGAAAATGCATTTGACAAAATCCAACAACCATTCATGATAAAAAAAAAATTTGGTAAACTCAGAATAGAGGATAATTTTATCAATTTGATAAAGAATGTCTCAAAAATATCCACAGATAACATCATATTAATGATGATAAACTGGAAGCTTTCCCACTAATATCAAGAACAAGGCAAGATGTCTCATCTTACCACCCCTTTTCATTGTTTTTCTGAAAGTTCTTGATAATGCAATAAAACAAGTAAAGGAAATAAAATGTATATGGATTGAGAAGAAAAATAAAACTGTCTTTGTTAACAGATAATATAATCATCTATGTAGAAAATCTGAAACAATTGACCAAAAAAAATTAGGACTAATAATCAATTATAGCAAGGTTTCACAATAAAGGGTTAATGTACAAAAGTCAGTCGCTTTCTTATATGCTAGCAATGAAAGTAGAATCTGAAATTAAAATCATAGTGTCATTTATATTCACAGCCAAAATAACAAACTCTTAGGTGTACATTTAAAACTATATGGAAGATCTATATAAGAAAAATCTTTAAAAACTCATTTGAATGAAATCAAAGAACTAAATAAATGGAGAGATACTTCATGTTTTTGGATAGAAAGGCTCAATGTTGTCAAAATGTCACTTATTCCCAACTTGAATTGGGATTCAATACAATCCTAATCAAAATCTTAGCAAGTTATTTCGTGGGTATCAACAAACTTATTTTAAAGTGTATATGATGAGGCAAAGGACTCAGTAATAGTTGACAAAATATTGAAGGAAAATAACAAATTTGTAAGACTGACACTACCTCATTTCAAGACTCATTGTAAAGATACAATAATCAAGACAATATGGTATTGGGCAAAGAATAGAGAAATAGATCAATGGCAAAGAAGATAAAGCCCAGAAATATATGCACATAAATATAGTCAACTGAACTATGGCAAAGGAGCCAATGCAATACAATAGAGCAAGGGCTGTCTTTCAACAAATGAGTCTGGAACAACTAGATAGCCACATGAAAAATTGAACTCAAAATGAATCATAGACTCAAAAGTAAAATGCAAAACTATGAAACTCCTAGAAGATAACATAGAAGAAACCTATTTGACCTTGGGTATGGTGATGACTTTTTATATACAACACTAAAGGCACAATCCAAAAAAGAAAGAATTAGTAAACTCTTGGAATCATTACAATTTAAAACTTCTGCTCTATGATAGACAATGTCAAGAGAATGAGAAGTCAAACTACATACTGAGAGAAGATATTTGCAAATGACATATCTGATTAAGGACTGTTTTTCAAACTATGCAAAGAACTCTTAGAACTCAAAAATAAGAAAAACAAACAACCTGATTGAAAAACAAGCTGGACTTTGACAGTTCACCAGATAACATATACAGATGGCAACAAGCATATGAAATCATGTTCCAAATCATATGACATTAAGGGAATAAAAATTATAAAAACAATGAGATACCATTACATACCTATCAATGTGACCAAAATCTGAAACACTGACAATATAAAATACTAGTGAGGATGTGAAACAACAGGAACTGTCATTTGTTACTGTTCGGAATAAAAAATGTTACAGCCCTATTGGTGGACAGTTTTTTATAAAACTAAACATATTCTTACCATACTATCCAGCAATCATGCTCATTGGTATTGATCTCAATGAGTTGCAAACATATGTCCACAAAAAGTCTTGCACAAGGATGTTTATAACAGCTTTATTCATGGCTGCCAAAAGATTGAAGAAATGAGGATGTCCTTCAGGAGGTGACCGAATAAAGTGTAGTACATCAAGACACAGAATATTATTATTACTAAAAAGAAATGAGCTATCAAACCATAAAAATACGTAGAGTAATTCTTAAATGCACATTGCTAAGTGAAAGAAGCCAATATTAGAAGGCTACATACTATCTGATTCCAACTACATGATGTTTTAGAAGAGGCAAAACTATGAAGACAGTAAAAAAATTAGTGCTTTAGGGGTTTTGGATGGAGAAGAATGAATAAACAGAGCACAGAAGATTTTTAGGGGAGTGAAAATCTGTATGATCCTATAAAGAGGGATACATGTCATTATATAATTTTCCAAATCTGTAAAATGTATAATACCAAGAGTGAAGTCTAAGGTAAACTATGAACTTTGGGTATTTATAATGTGTCAATGTAGCTTCATCAATTGTAACAAATGTACCACTCTGGTGGGGGATATTGATAATGGGGGAGGCTTTGCATGTTTGAAAGAAGGGGTACGTGAGAAATATCTCTACCTTCTTCTCAGTTTTCCAGCAAACCTAAAACTGCTTTAAAAACATCTTAAAAGATAAAAAAGAGGAGGAAGTGATTTATAATGAAGGAGGAAAATGAGGGAGAATCAGGAAAGATTTCCTAGATCAGTGAACTGAACCATAAAAGAGATTAAATGGAAGAAATGGCAGGGTAGGGTAATAGGAACAATTCACTGTAAGGTTGTAAGGTAACGTTATGAAGAAATGCACCTACAGAGTATACTTAAATAGTTAGTGGCAACCTGTGGCTGGAATGGAGAATGTACTGCAGTGAGATGGAGTACTGTGAATGACAGCAGCAGCAAGTGTTGCAGAGAGCCCAGTGAGAGTGAAAACATTTTAAAAAATGATTAAATATTGTGTGTAAGGAATCATCAGAGACCTTACAGAAAACACATTCAGTAGTGTGGGAGGTTATGGACGTGAAGCCAAAGGTATAATGCAGTGCAGGTTTCTCTCCTAAGATGTGTTGCAGTGGAAGGAAGAGGGGAAGTGCATAACTTTAGCATCCACTAGTGTTAAGAAGATTACTTTAAAACATTTTTAAGATGAAATAACAGGAGCATACTTGTAGCACAAGGAAGGAACTGATAAGGAGAGAGTAATTAAAAGTGCAAGAGAAGAGGATAATTGCCAGATAAATGTTTCTGAAGAGACAGGAATGAGTCCAAATAAGTGGTTCTGCACACATTATCCAGTAGGATCTCACTTCATAATTTCCTTAGTAGGGATTCTCTCTTTACCAAATTATGCACAGTTTACCAGAAAGTTAAAATTATAGGGTAATTTCAATGTCTATTTTTATATTGCCTTTCCTTAATTTTAGGATTCTTACATTTTAAGATGTCTTATTTATTTGTCATTGTATTAGGTGTGCCTGGAGAAATTAAGTTAACCCATCATGTAAATTATATGTTCATATATAGTACACACTAAAATACAAATAGATAATTTCCACAGTAGTAAATGTTTGTTTCCTTGTTACTAGAAGCTCAAAGAGCATTGACTGGAGTATAGGCAAACTGCTGACTGCAACTGTTGCACATTTTCTAAGATAGAGAACATTAGCAAAGTTAGCATAGACATCGCGTTTAGCTAATAAATGAAGAAATCATACAAGTATTTCAAAATAATAATTGGTGCCCGCCACAGAGCCCATAACATCACCAAGATTTATGCTTGCTATTCTCTGATCCTTCTGCTGTGCATGCTGTGACTTAGGAATTATTTATATGTGGGTAATGACAACATTTAGCCTCTCACACAGAAGCTCAGTAATTGTGCTAATGGTAGTGATGAGTCCATCCCTCTAAATTCAGAAGCTGAAGACTATGTTGCAAGAAATGCTAAAAGGTTAAACATGTCAAAGAGTTTATCAAGTACTGATCAAAATCCCATACTTACAAAAATTAGCAAAACAACCCTCAAATTTGGGCAGACGTAACCTTTAAATATGAAGGGTTATTTGTATATTTTGTACCAATTTGCACTAACAGATATTCACTCCACCACCTCTAGCTTTATTCCTGTAGCTAAATATCATTTCTAGTTTTTTCCATTGGATATTTATTGCATCTTGAAAAATCTGGCATTTTCAAGCTTGTGTGTTCTTCTGCAAGCTCCTGATTTTAACATATAGCTTTTCTTTTCTTTCTTCATTCATATAAACGAATCTTGTGTTTATTTTAGAAATCTTCATGACCCTTCCAAAAGAAAATTACTTCATTTCATAGTATAAACTGAAAAGCTAGCTTTTATCTTACTGCTTTATTTGTATTATCACAGGAAGTCACACGGTTTTTCCATTCTTGCAGTAAACTACCGTGGATAATTGATCCTCACACAGTACAGAGAAAGGCTGCAGGCTAAATTCTGTCCAAAGATACAACTCTAAAATTATCTGGGAAAAAAGGAAATACATAGACACATAAAGAGAAAGATGAGAGAGAGAGAGCACCAAAAAGTGAGTTCATCTCTATTAAGTGAACATTACTTTGTTATTGGCTTCAATCTGATCATGGTTGTCATTTCTTTTACCAGTTTGTTTAAGGAGACATGCATCATTCTAGTTTTAGGCAGTAAAAGGTGACATTGTAGATATAAATAGTATTAGATTTTGTTGAGGTACTGCATATATTTGAAAAATTTTTGAAAAGCTGTTAAATATTTTGAAATATAAGGCATCAGTCAGCAGTTTTTTTAACTTGCCAGATAATAAATCTTTTCAGCCTTGCAGGCCATATAGGCTCTGTTGCAATTTCTCAACTTTTCATATTGGGAAAGCAGCTATAGATAATACATAATTGGATCAGCATGGCTGTGTTCCAATGAAATTGTATTTACAAAAGTAGGCATATTACTCAGACAGTAGTTTACCAATCCCTGAAGATATCATTATGATTTATCATCAGTTAGTTTCACATCATTCCATTGTACTAGCATTCTTCCATGAAATCCAAATTCTGTTATCTGTTATTTTTCTGTGTGTCTATTAAATGAAGAGTTTTAATCTAGAATAGATTCATGAAAATATCCAAGAAAATATGGTTATTAAGGAAATAATTACTTAGCACTTATGAGGTTTTTGAAAAATTGTTGCAAGGCATTGTTTCCTGTAAACATATGCAGAACTTCATTGAAATGACTCTTTATAGCTTATTTTAAATGTATTGTTTGGTTTTGTTTCTATCTAGCACACAGTTATAATATCTAGTGTCTCTATGGGTCTATAACTAGTACCCAGGGCAATATGAAAGTAATTGTAAAAGAACAAAATGAAGAAGCAAAAAAAAAGAAAAATAAAATGAGTGAAATAATTAGACAATTTACCTACAAAATAAATAAGTACAAGTGGCGTATATGCACAGCATCACTTATAATCCCGAAAATGGAAGGTAAACAGAAAATTTTTTATCATATTGACAAAAACAGAAAAAAGATCAGTCTTCTGATTCTTGGTGAGGATGTGAGGAAATGGGAAATTCCTAACAGATTTACAGGACAATTCAGCTGTATCTATGGCTATCATAAATGTTTACACCTTTGAACTCAGCACTTCCCACTACTTGGAATTTATGCAAGTCAGCAAAATATTAAATGTCCCATTATTTAAAATACTAAACATTTGGAAACAAGTCAAATGCTTATCCTTAGAAGCATGGTAAAAGTAAATTGCAGAACAGTATATAGAACATAATTCCATTTTTATTAAAAAATAACTAGTTAAAATGAATATAGTGAAGTTGTAGACAATGATAAATTGTGCAGGTTGAGTAAGTTTAAATTTCCTTAACCTCAGTTTCAACCTCTACAAAATTCTAGCTAAAAAAATGCTATGACTATATAAAAATAAATTCCTGAAAATAAAAAGCATGATTATGAAGTGATTCTGAATTAGAATTATTCAAACAGCCTATTTAGAGTTGTATATATAAGTGAAATTAATTAAACTAAGGGTAAGAAGATAGAGTACTTTTAAACTCACAAACTTTTTTTATGTTTTCTTTGACAAGAATTTGGAATCATCAGAAGTATTTGAAGAAGAATCAAATACCACCTTTGATAAACTGGTATCTGTAGTATTTGAAGTGGTTTGCATGAGAGTGTTAATATAAGTGGGGAAACTTTTGAAAAGAGGTTATAGTTGTCAATGGAACTTAACCTGAACAAAAGCTTTGGTAAGGGCCTTGGGAAAATTAGAATATTATTGATGATGGCGTCAGTATAGAATGAGCTATGTATACTTACTAAGAAGCCTTTAGGTATATTATCAGTATGAATGTGATTGATTGCAAGAAAGAAAATATCAAATTAGAATGATTCAAATGATGAGAACATGTATTGTCTTACCTACAGGCTGTGCATTTTCAGGGTTAGTTTATTCAGTTTCACACATATTAGGGCTTTTGGTCTGCTTCTTGTGGTCACAAGATGGCTGCTACAGTTAAATGAAGTATCCCAGACAACGGACCCTTCTGTCTCCTTGGCCAGGATTGCATCACATGCTATTGCCTAGACCAAATGTTGATCAAAGAAATAGTAATGTCATGATTGTTTTAGACTTTTCAGTGTTCACCACAGGAGAAAGGGAAGGGAAGAGAAGGTGCATGAGAGGGTGGATTTAAACACAAAATCAGTTACCAAGCAAAGAGGTGAAGACAATATGACGGTAAAGAAATCATCTGTATGGCAAACAACCAATGGCATCTGTCACAGCTGTCAATGGTTTCTATTCAGCAGATGGAAGATAAAGTCTAGGGATTAGATACCAAGGAAATTTATTCACTCAGATTTTTTATTCCCTTATTTAATGCATGATTTTTTCCATTTAGATATTTTTTAAATGTAAAACAGTTAGTAAAATGAGGGCGCAGTGAAAAGCGTGCATATCATGTAGAGCAATAAACTGGGACTCAGCAGACTGAGATTTTATTATTTTACTTTGGTAGTTAATTTCTATTCGAAATATGATGTGTCTTTTTCCAAAAAAACTGTAAAAAAGGTAAAATACAACAAACTACCTATATCCTACTTTGCAGAACATAATATAGAATTTAAATAGGTAGAACGTCTGTAAGCTTTAAACTGCTTGGAGGAAGATACTATGTGAATAAAGTATCTCTGAATTTTTTAAAAGGAGAAATATTAGATAATTCTTGAAAAATTATCTTGGAGGACGTATGCTAGAAATTTTCTTAAGAACATACTAATAGTATTGGATATAATATGCATAAAATTCCTGTTTGTTAAAAAATTATGTTGGGAATAATTAACATAAAATAATACGTATTCCATATGCTGAATTTGCATGTAATATTTAATGAAAACTATTATAACATGCAAGTCATTTTTGCTTATTTTGTAAATAATGAATCAATGTTTTAAACTATTCATCTTTTTCAGAAAATCACTTAAAAATAAATTCGATGTCAAATTAAAGCATAATCATGAGAATAATATTTATTTTACTTTGACTACTTTCATATATTTCCTTCTTCAAAATAAAAAGAAAATTAAAATTGTTTTTGTGAAAATAATGTGTTCATTAAGAACTTAAACACTTCAAAAAAAAGTTTACAAAAAAGGAAAAGAATCATCAATCCAAATTCTATTCACCAGAAATAACAATTCAAGAGCAGTCAAAATTTAGACCATAATTTGATATCTGTCTTTTACAAATATTTGCTAACAGATACAGTATTAATTTAACATCCCTCAAAGCCATCCCCAATCTCATTAGGTTATTCAGAATATAGCAAAAAAATCTATAAGATTTTAGAAGGATAGATCATTTCATTAATTGCAATATAAATATAGGCTCACTTTTATTTAATTAAGCCAGTTTAATTTTTTATTACCAAACTAGAAAATATTGATTAGCTGAGAAATCTTTACATTGCTTAAAGTAGAGGAGTCCAACCTCTTTCTTAATTTGATTTCAAATAAAAACTCCTCAGTATTATATTGCCATGCCTTTTTTTTTTCATCTATATTTATAAACCCTCTGTGGTACAGATTCAAAAGAGGTTTGACTTGGCGATAGCTTCGGCTAAAGCCAAAGATTTTCAATAGGACAATTGTTCTAATATATTAATGCTTTTAAAATAAGTAACCTATGGAATTGTGAAAAATGGAGATTCTCTAGGCACACCTTTGTGGTTTTAATATGGTACATCTGGGAAGGATCTTAGGAGTCTGAATATTTAATAAGCACTCCATGTAATTCTGATTCATGTGGCAGATGGGCCAAACTTTAGAAACACTATCCTAAATTCATTGTCACTAGTTTCTCCTAAAAAAAAATAGTAAAGTCTTTGCTCTACTAATATTTTTTCTTTGTTTGTAAGGCACACAAGGTGTATTTAAGATCATGTAAAATTTTCTTATACTTAGAAAACCATAGTAATTTTATTACTGAATGTTTTAGAAGTCATGACAAAAACAGAGAATGTTTCAATATGGTCATGTAATTTGTAATGTTCTAATTTGGTTGTGGCCATTATATGGGAAAATCAATTATTTTAAAATAAGAAATACCATTATTCTTAAAAATCTATTGAGATTCATCATATAGAAATTTAGAGAAATTCTACTTTTAGTTCTAGAAATATTATGATTTTTTAAATAATAAATATATGTTTCCTGAGCTATCTCTTTTTTCTCATTACAAGTGTTGCAAGTATTCTATTACTTAAGGCATGCCATCTTACTGGTAAACTTCTACATTGATCTTCTATTCGTTGTTAAAAAAACATAAAATATTAGTCAATCATCACTTGCTCTATTCTTATCCATTTCTAGGACATGCATCCACCACGGCTGTTTCAGGCATTTCTATTTAAAGTGCTGTGAATGTCTCCTGAACTCTTACCATTGGTTCCTTTAGAATATATACTTCTTTGTGTTGAATGTGGCTGATGATGGTTATAAAATGACTGCCTTCTCTCATGTCTGTCTTTGTTTTTTTTTTTTTTAGCCTTTTCTGTCTTTAGAAATGTGAATCTATTAATTACTTCCCCATTACTCTGAAGGATGCTAGTATCAGAATTGGTACTCATTTCTAATTGTCTGATTCTCCTAAGGCCAACTCAATTCACATGTTAACCACTTTATATTTCTTTATTGTGCTTAGTGAAAGAAAGCTTATCAAAACTAAAACAAAAGAAAGAATCGTATACTTATTAGTATAAGGTTTCATCTATTTTCTTTATTCAAAAGAAAAAATTAAAAACCTAAACAATTTCTCCATGATTCTCTCTAACATTTTCTCTAAAAATTATAACATTACTCTTCACAAAATTCCACCATACACTTGTTTACAAAGATTACCAAACATTTTCCCTGCTTAGCTAATAACTCCAGAAGATTTATCTTTTTCACTATGCTTTTTTTTGTTTGATCATAGAAGAGTTTATGACTGTCCTTCATAATGAGAACATAACATATCTGAGTGTCAAATGCACTTAATTTTATCTTGTATGTAATATAAACAATTCACTATCTGTAGCACTTTAGGTGAACCCTGGATTAGTTGAAATAGCAGCACATATACTACAACTATTATTTACCCATTTATTTTGCCAACTATAAGGCAAGAGTTTTTAGGAAAGATTGTTACAGAATATAGAAGACAGAATATGTGTGTGTGTGTGTGTATTCTCTTATATATATATACCCATATTTTCTTATTATTAAGCTTATACATATCAAGACAAATTCCCTTAGTCCCTGGAATTCCTAATATGGGATATACCCAGTAAGAAGAGTGAGAAGGCAAGGCAGCATGGATTAAGTAGGACACCAATATTCACAAAGTGAGGAAAAGAGAATGTGCCAATGAAAAAAAATGGAAAAGAAATATTCAAAGAAGTAAAAATCTAAGATAATGACATAGAAGCTAAAAGAGAAAATAGTTTCAAAAAGATGAAGTGGTATATTAGTCTGTTCTCATGCTGCGATAAAGAACTGCTTGAGACTGGGTAATTTATAAGGAAAGAGGTTTAATTGACTCACAGTTCTGCACAGCTGGGGAAGCCTCAGGAAACCTACAATCATGGCAGAAGGGGGAGCAAAAACAGCCTTCTTCAAATGACGGTGGGAAGGAGAAGTGTTAAGCAAAGGTGGAAAAATCCCATATAAAACCATCAGATTTTGTAAGAACTCACTATCATGAGAACAGCAGCATGGGGGTAACCACCACCATGATTCAATTACCTCTCACCAAGTTTCTCCCATAACACGTGGGGATTATGGAAACTACAATTCAAGATGATATTTGGGTGGAGACGCAGACAAACTATATTATTTCATCCCTGGCCCCTCCCAATCTCGTGTTCTTGCAATTTAAAACACAAACATGCTTTTCCAACAGTCCTCCAAAGTCTTAACTCATTCCAGCATTAACCCAAACGTCCAAGTCCAGAGTTTCATCTGAGACAAGGCAAGTCCCTTCCACCTATGAGCCTGCAAAATCAAAAGCAAGTTAGTTACTTCCTAGATACAATTCAGGTACAGCATTGGTCAAATACACCTTCTCCAAGTGGGAGAAATTGGCCAAAACAAAGGGGTCACAGGCTCCATGCATATTTGAAATTCATTAGGGTAGTCATTAAACCCTAAAGCTACAAAATGATATTTTTTTACTTCATGTCTCACATCCAGTTCATGCTGATGCAAGAGGTGGGCTCCCACTGCCTTGGGCAGCTTCACCGCTGTGGCTTTTCAGGATACAGCCCCCTTCCTAGCTGCTTTCATGGTCTGGTGTTGAGTGTCTGCAGCTTTTTCAGGTGCACAGTGCAAGCTGTCAGTGGGTCTACCATTCTGGGGTCTGGAGGATGGTGGACCCCTTCTCACAGCTCCACTAGGCAGTGCCCCAGTGGGGACTCTGTGTGGGGGCTCCAACCCTACATTTTTCTTCCTCACTGTCCTAGAAGAGATTCACCATGAGGGCTCTGCCCCTGAAGCAAACTTCTGCCTGGACAGTCAGGCATTTTCATACATCCTCTGAAATCTAGGCAGAGGTTGCCAAACCTCAATTCTTGTCTTCTGCACACCTGCAGGATCAACACCACGTGGAAGCTGCCAAGGCTTGGGGCTGAAGCAATGGCCCGAGCTATACCTTGGCCCCCTTTAGCCATGGCTGGAGCTGAAGCATCTGGGATGCACAGCATCATGTCCCTAGGCTACGCAAAGCAGGAGGGTCCTGGGCTAGGTCCAGGAAAGCATTTTTACCTTCTAGACCTTCAGGCTTGTGATGGGAGGGGCTGCCATGAAGGTCTCTGAAATGCTCTGGAAACATTTTTTCCATTGTCTTGCTAGTTAACATTTGACTCTCTGTTATTAATGCAATTTTCTTCAGTGGGATTGAATTTATCCCCAGAAAATGTTTTTCTTTTCTGTCATATTGAGAGGTGACAATGTGCTAGCAGCCCTCACTCTCGGCACCTCCTCAGCCTCGGCGTCCACTCTGGCCACACTCAAGGAGCCCTTCAGCCTGCTGCTGCACTGTGGGGGCCTTTGGGGCTGGCTGAGGCTGGAGCCAGCTCCCTCTGCTTGCCGTGAGGTGGGGAGGGAGAGGCGTGGGCAGGAGCGGGGCTGCGTGCGGCGCTCACAGGCCAGTGTGGGTTCCAGGTGGGCACGGGCTCAGTGGGCCCTGCACTCAGCACGGCCGGCCGGCGACTGCTGGGCTTGACTGGAGGATGAGCTCCCTCTGGGCTGCCAGAGTGCCTGGGCTAGGTGCCGCAAAGACCCATGGTGAGTGCCATTGAAAGGTGAAGCCAAGGTTTATAAATGCACCAATCAGTGCTCTGTGTCTAGCTAATCTAGTGGGGACTTGGAGAACTTTTCTGTCTAGCTAAAGGATTGTAAACGCACCAATCAGCACTCTGTGTCTAGCTAAAGGTTTGTAAATGCATCAGTCAGTGCTCTGTGTCTAGCTAATCTGGTGGGGACTTGGAGAACTTTTGAGTCTAGCTAAAGGATTGTAAGTGCACCAATCAGCTCTCTGTAAAACGGACCAATCAGCTCCCTGTAAAATGGACTGATCAGCTCTCTGTAATATGGACCAATCAGCAGGATGTGGGTGGGCCAGATAAGGGAATAAAAGCAGACCACCCGAGCCAGCAGCGGCAACCTGCTCAGGTCCCCTTCCACACTGTGGAAGCTTTGTTCTTTTGCTCTTCGCAATAAATCTTGCTGCTGCTAACTCTTTTGGTCTGTGCCACCTTTATGAACTGTAACGCTCACCGCAAAAGTCTGCAGCTTCACTCCTGAGGCCAGCGAGACCACAAACCCACCGGAAGGAATGAGCAACTCCAGATGCACTTAAGAACTGTAACACTCACTGCGGGGGTCTGCAGCTTCATTCTTGAAGTCAGCAAGACCAAGAACCCACCAATTCCACACACAATATCATCAGGCTACAATTTTTCAAATTTTTATGCTGTGCTTCCTATTGAATGCTTTGCCACTTAGAAATTTCTTTCAACAGTTACCCTAAATGATCTCTCTCAAGTTCAAAGTTCCATAGATCCCTAGGGCAGGGGCAAAACGCCACCAGTCTTTTTGCTAAAGAATAGCAAGAATCACCTTTATTTCAGTTCCCAAGAAGTTCCTCATCTCCATCTGAGATCATCTCAGCCTGGACTTCATTGTCCATATCACTATCAGCATTTAGTGAAAGCCATTCAACAAGTCTCCAGGAAGTTCCAAACTTTCCCACATTTTTCTCTCTTCTGAGCTGTCAAAGTTATTACAACCTCTGTCTGTTACCCAGCTTCAGAGTTGCTTCCACATTTTCAGTTATCCTTACAGCAGAGCCCCACTACCTCCTAGTACCAATTTACTGTGTTCATTTATTCTTATGCTGCTATAAAGAAATGCCCATGACTGGGTAATTTATAAAGGAAAGAGGTTTAATTGACTCACAGTTCAGCATGGCTTGGGCGGCCTCAGGAAACTTACGATCATAGTGGAAGGGGAAGCAAACACATCCTTCTTCACATGATTGCAGGAAGGAGAAGCGCCAAAGACCCTTATAAAACCATTAGATCTCATGAGAACTCACTCACTGTCACAGCAGCATGGGGGTAACTGCCCCCATAATTCAATTACCTTCCACCAGGTCCCTCCCACAACATGTGAGAGTTATGGGAACTACAATTCAAGATGAGATTTGGGTGGGGATGCAGCAAAATTATATCAAGTGGTCAATAATGTGAAATGCTGCAGAAAGTCTCAGTAATATCAAGTTTAAAAACAAGGCACAGAATTTGGCATAAATAGTACTTTAGTGTCCTTGCTGATATAAGTTTCTTCTTGTGGGTCTGAATGAAATTCATTTATATTGCCAACAACACTACCTCAAATAATTCCTAAAGGCTCTTTTTGAAAATTCGTTTAAATTGGTTCTCCTATTTAAAAAGCCACATAAATTTAAACATAAATATCCCACACTGCATGTTACAACAAGTTGAAGGCCCAGAATCAAATAAAATTCTCTTCTGATTGAGCTTCATAGAAGAATGTAAAACAAATCAACTTTTTTTTTCTTTACTGCTATTTGTTAATCTGTGCATGGTACTCAAAATTGTTTAGAAACAGTCAGGCAGATTGGACCAATGCTAGGAACTTCCAAAAATGATGTAAGGTTGAGTAACTCATAGTAAACAATAACTTAGTTGTACATTTAAAGACAACTAAAAGAGTGTAATCATTATTTGCAACTCAAAGGATAAATGCTTGAGGAGATGGATATCCAATTCACTATGATGTAATTATTTCACTTTGCATGCCTGTTTCAAAACATTTCATGTATGCCATAAATATATACACCTACAGTGTATTCACTAAAATTAGAAAATAGGAAACTAAGCAAAACAAAACAAAACAAAACTTGTGTTTGCAACATACCAAAATCTCTGTGACACATTCAAAGCAGTGTGTAGAGGGAAATTTATAGCACTAAATGCCCACAAGGGAAAGCAGGAAAGATCTAAAATGGACATCCTAACATCACAATTAAAAGAACTAGAAAAGCAAGAGCAAACACATTCAAAAGCTAGCAGAAGGCAAGAAATAACTGAGATCAGAACAGAACTGAAGGAGATAGAGACACAAAAACCCCTCAAAAATCAATGAATCCAGGAACTGGTTTTTTGAAAAGATCAGCAAAATTGATAGACTGCTAGCAAGACTAATAAAGAAGAAAAAGAGAGAAGAATCAAATAGATGCAATAAAAAATGATAAAGGGGATATCACCACCGATCCCACAGAAATACAAACTACCATCAGAGAATACTATAAACACCTCTACGCAAATAAACTAGAAAATCTAGAAGAAATGGATAAATTCCTCGACACATACACCCTCCCAAGGCTAAACCAGGAAGAAGTTGAATCCCTGAATAGACCAATAAAAGGCTCTGAAATTGAGGCAATAATTAATAGCCTACCAAACAAAAAAAGTCCAGGACCAGACAGATTGCAAAAAGAGGGAAACCTCCCTAACTCATTTTATGAGGCCAGCATCATTTATCCTGATATCAAAAACTGGCAGAGACACAACAAAAAAAGAGAATTTTAGGCCAATATCCCTGATGAACATCGATGCAAAAATCCTCAATAAAATACTGGCAAACTGAATCCAGCAGCACATCAAAAAGCTTATCCACCATGATCAAGTGGGCTTCATCCCTGGGATGCAAGGCTGGTTCAACATATGCAAATCAATAAATGTAATCCAGCATATAAACAGAACCAAAGACAAAAACCACATGATTATCTCAATAGATGCAGGAAAGGCCTTTGACAAAATTCAGCAGCCCTTCATGCTAAAAACTCTCAATAAATTAGGTATTGATGGGATGTATCTCAAAATAATAAGAGTTATTTATGACAAACCCTCAGCCAATATCATACTGAATGGGCAAAAACTGGAAGCATTCCCTTGGAAAACCGGCACAAGACAGGGATACCCTCTCTCACCACTCCTATTCAACATAGTGTTGGAAGTTCTGGCCAGGGCAATCAGGCAAGAAAAAGAAATAAAGGATATTGAATTAGGAAAAGAGGAAGTCAAATTGTCCCTGTTTGCAGATAACATGATTGTATATTTAGAAAACCCCATCATCTCAGCTCACAATCTCCTTAAGCTGATAAGCAAATTCAGCAAAGTCTCAGGATACAAAATCAATGTGCAAAAATCACAAGCATTCTTATACAGCAATAACAGACAAACGGAGAGCCAAATCACGAGTGAACTCCCATTCGCAATTGCTTCAAAGAGAATAAAATGCCTAGGAATACAACTTACAAGGGATGTGAAGGACCTCTTCAAGGAGAACTACAAACCACTGCTCAACGAAATAAGAGGACACAAACAAATGGAAGATCATTCCATGCTCATGGATAGGAAGAATCATTATCATGAAAATGGCCACACTGCCCAAGGTAATTTATAGATTCAATGCCATCCCCATCAAGCTACCAATGACTTTCTTCACAGAATTGGAAAAAACTACTTTAAAGTTCATATGGAACCAAAAAAGAGCCTGCATTGTCAAGACAATCCTAAGCCAAAAGAACAAAGCTGGAGGCATCACGCTACCTGACTTCAAACTATACTACAAGGCTACAGTAACCAAAACAGCATGGTACTGGTACCAAAACAGAGATATAGACAAAGGGAACAGAACAGAGCCCTCAGAAATAATGCCACATATCTACAAATATCTGATCTTTGACAAATCTGACAGAAACAAGCAATGGGGAAAGGATTCCCTATTTAATAAATGGTGCTGGGAAAATTGGCTAGCCATATGTAGAAAGCTGAACTAGATCCCTTCCTTAGACTTTATACAAAAATTAATTCAAGATGGATCAAAGACTTAAATATTAGACTTAAAACCATAAAAACCCTAGAAGAAAACCTAGGCAATACCATTCAGGACATAGACATAGGCAAGGAATTCATGTCTAAAACACCAAAAGCAATGACAACAAAAGCCAAAATTGACAAATGGGATCTAATTAAATTAAAGAGCTTCTGCACAGCAAAAGAAACCACCATCAGAGTGAACAGGCAACCTACAGAATGGGAGAAAATTTTTGCAACCTACTCATCTGACAAAGGGCTAATCTCCAGAATCTACAAAGAACTCAAACAAATTTACAAGAAAAAAACAAACAACCCCATCAAAAAGTGGGTGAAGGATATGAACAGACACTTCTCAAAAGAAGACATTTATGCAGACAAAAAACACATGAAAAAATGCTCATCATCACTGGCCATCAGAGAAATGCAAATCAAAACCACAATGAGATACCATCTCACACCAGTTAGAATGGCGATCATGAAAAAGTCAGGAAACAACAGGTGCTGAAGAGGATGTGGAGAAATAGGAACACTTTTACACTGTTGGTGGGACTGTAAACTAGTTCAACCATTGTGGAAGACAGTGTGGTGATTCCTCAAGAATCTAGAACTAGAAATACCATTTGACCCAGCCATCCCATTACTGGGTATATACCCAAAGGATTACAAATCATGCTGCTATAAAGACACATGCACATGTATGTTTATTGCAGCACTATTCACAATAGCAAAGACTTGGAACCAACCCCAATGTCCATCAGTGATAGAGTGGATTAAGAGAATGTTGCACATATACACCATGGAATACTATGCTGCCATAAAAAAGGATGAGTTCATGTCCTTTGTAGGGACATGGATGAAGCTGGAAACCATCATTCTCAGCAAACTATCACAAAAACAGAAAACCAAACACCACATGTTCTCACTCGTAGGTGGGAATTGAACAATGAGAACACTTGGACACAGGAAGGGGACCATCACACACCGGGGCCTGTTGTGGGGTCGGGGGAAGGGGGAGGGATAGCATTAGGAGATATACCTAATGTAAATGACGAGTTAATGGGTGCAGCACACCAACATGGCACATGTATACATATGTAACAAACCTGCACGTTGTGTACATGTACCCTAGAACTTAAAGTATAATAAAAAAATAAAAAAAGCCCTTGTGTTTGGGGCAGTTTTTCCAGTTTCACTGAAAAGTTTTACTTGATAAATCTAATAAAAAATGGTAAGAGGATGAGACTTGAGGAGTGTAGAGTCTGGATGTCATTTCTCCTAGTCATTTTTAAATTCATTCTTGTATCTAGAGAAAAAGATCCTTTGTTAAGCACCTTGGCTGCTTTTCTATCTTTGTCTCCAGGCCCTTGCATTCAAAGATGAGTTTATCTAGAAATGTTCAATTCAAGCGATTGCTTAATTGTGATAGAGATGTGGGGGGAATTGGCTTTTGTGCAAACCGTAATAATGCTGTGGATCTAGTCTTTTTAGAAATGGTTCAACCAGTCCAATATCAATATAGCTGCTTATTACTCTATTCACTTACTTCAAAGTGGCATTTGTTTTGAGTAAGACTTTATTTAATTCTTACCGTTAGCTTGAAACCATAGAGATCTTCTCTCTATTTGCCCTACTTCCTTCAAAAGTCAAATGACCTCCTACAAATAAAAGACGTTCTTATTTTCATTTCATATTTGAATGAGTATTTGTTCATTTTATTTGAATGTTATAAGTATAAAAGCACTGAGAAACAAAATATTAAGTACTTGAAATTTTGGAGAAAAAAAGTAAGAATAACTAAAAACCATATAGTATGGTACCTCATAAAAGTTAGGGTAGATTTGCATTTTAAAATTGCTCATAAGACAAAAAAATGTAGACTTTTCCCTGAGGCTCAGTGTGTAATTGTGGTGACATGTATTCAGTAGTATGATAAATTTTGCAGGACAATCTTTAAAATAAGATTATCTCTGAGCGACTAGCCAGGATGACCAATTATATTTAGAACTAAGCTATTTTCTTTGCTCCCAAGATCACTTTGTATCCCGAAGAATTAGTAACAGGAGTCTGAATATCTGATGACCAGATTACTCAATAATTTCAAGAGTAAGTAGGAAAGGACAAAATACACATCAAAGGTAGCTGGTACAAATGCTAGCTCTGATTATAGTAGACTGGAAAGGAGGAAAAAACCACAACTTTAGTTATTTTTTCTAGAAAGCCAACTTGATTTCATATGAGTAGATGTATTAGAATTCTGAAATGATATTTGATATTCTATCTAAATTACATGGTATCAATCATGCCATTTCTAAGGGCTTGCTCTAACCAATATTTAGCACAATGAAAGCAAAGATTATTTTCTAACACCTATTAGTTCATGCAGCCTTCTTTTTGCAATGTGGATGAAGAGAAGTAACCTGTAAAAGGAGGAAATGGAGGATGAAAAAATGGTAAGGACTTTTCATCTGGTTCCTGCAGGCTTTTTGTGTGGCTTGTCCTTGATTGCTGCCAGTGACTTCACATAATGTGTTTCTCATTCATTTACTCTGTCTCCTTGCATCTCCTGTACTGAAAGCCAGACTTTAAAATAAAGATAGTCAGCTTTCAGGAGAGGAAAAACAGTAACAACGACAACAACAAAAGCAAAAACAAAAAAACAAAAAAACCTCTGTGCTTGTAGTTTGAAAGGTATTTGAACCTGTCAGAAAATTATTAGACAAATTCTGAAAGGAATGCTAAACACTACAAAAAATTATTTTTGACAAAGAAAACTCCTTGTGGGGTTACACTTGAAAGATAAAACTTTGAGGAAAAAAAATAGTGCATTATATAAAAAAAGGGTGAGGAAAGATTTACTGTTTTATTGTATATCTAATATATGGTCCTCCTAGTATAAGTGAGTTCAAAGCTATTATAGAGTAAAAAAAAAAAACTTCTTTAAACACAAATGAAGTTTTATATTCAAACAAATTTATTAATTTGCTTCACAAATCAAACCATTTACACTGGGGGTCAGCAAATTACAGAACTCTGGCCAAATCCAGCCCAATTCCTGTTTTTATGCAGGCCTTGAGTCAAGAATGGTTGACAGATGAACATTAGCAATTGATTTGATACAGGGAACACTAACTTTGAACCCCAAGTAAGCAAATATCCAGTCACAATAAGAGTCATTATTTTTATTAGATTTTCATTAAAATAATTGTACTCAATTTTTATATTTTGAATTTCATCAATACAAATATTGTAGAAACTTGTTTTCCTTTCTGTTAACGTTGCCTATTGGCCCACAAAGCCTAAAATATTTATTGTTAGCTAATCATTCTAGATTGCATTTGTTATCTATCATGCACTTCCGTGTGAAGAGACCACCAAACAGGCTTTGTGTGAGCAACGAGGCTGTTTATTTCACCTGGGTGCAGGTGGGCTGAGTCTGAAAAGAGTCAGTGAAGGAAGATAGGGGTGGGGCCGTTTTATAGGATTTGGGTAGGTATAGGAAAATTACAGTCAAAGGGGGGTTGTTCTCTGGCGGGCAGGAGTAGGGGTCACAAGGTGCTCAGTGGGGGTGCTTTTTGAGCCATGATGAGCAGGAAAAGGACTTTCACAAGAT
Source organism: Homo sapiens (assembly GCF_000001405.40). Taxonomy (NCBI): domain Eukaryota; kingdom Metazoa; phylum Chordata; class Mammalia; order Primates; family Hominidae; genus Homo; species Homo sapiens. The sequence goes on from NC_000023.11 coordinate 90,773,580, forward strand.
AATGTCATCACTTAAGGCAAAGACCAGCCATTTATACTTCTGTTGTGGTGGAATGTCATCAGTTAAGGTGGGGCAGGGCATATTCACTTCTTTTGTGATTTTTCAGTTACTTCCGGCCATCTGGTCGTATCCGTGCAAGTCACAGGGGATGCGATGGCTTGGCTTGGGCTCAGAGGCCTGACATTCCTGCCTTCTTATATTAATAAGAAAAATAAAACAAAATAGTGTTGAAGTGTTGGGGTGGCAAAAATTTTGGGGGGGTGGTATGGAGAGAAAATGGGCGATGTTTCTCAGGGCTGCTTCAAGCGGGATTAGGGGCCGCATGGGAACCTAGAGTGGGAGAGATTAAGCTGAAGGGAGGTCTTGTGGTAAGGGGTGATATTGTGGGGATGTTACAAGAAACATTTGTCGTACAGAATGATTGCTGATGGCCTGGATACGGTTTTGGATGAATTGAGAAACTAAATGGAATAAGAGAAGGAGAAAAACAGGTATAAAAGGTCTAAGAATTGGGATGACTCAGGATATCTGATTAGAGAGTGCCTAAGGAGATTCAGCAGAGTCCTGCCAGCAAAGATTATTTATTTACTTCAAGAGTTAAGAGTGGCAGTTTGGGGATAGCACCAGGAGATATCACCTGTGATGGCTTGGAAAAACAATGTAAACCGGCAGTGTAAACAAGAGCAGGGCATGTATTAGTAGTTGAGAACGGTGAATAGGAGTATGACTAGACAGAAGATAGCAGGGATGACAAGTTCTTTGGGGCACAGTCTAAGTTGGTCTGGTGTCTGCAATGAGACTGGGGCCTAATAAAAAGGAGCGTCTATACAGGAGCTTAAATGGGCTTTACCCTGTAGCATTCTGAAGACAGGCCTGAATTCTGAGAAGGGAAAGTGGTAAAAGTATTGTACAGTCCTTTTTAAGTTGGTGGCTGAGCTTGGTGAGGTGTGTTTTTAAAAGACCTTTAGTCCATTCTACTTTTCTTGAAGATGGAGGACCATAGGGGATATAAAGGTTTCCCTGAATACTAAGAGCCTGAAAAGCTGCTTGGCTGATTTGACTAATAAAGGGTGGTCTGTTATCCAACTGTATAGAGGTGGGAAGGCTAAACTGAGGAATTATGTCTGACAGGAGGGAAGAAATGACTGGGGTGGCCTTCTCAGACCCTGTAGGAAAGGCCTTTACTTATTCAGTGAAAGTGTCTATTTAGACTAAGAGGTATTTTAGTTTCCTGACTCGGGGCATGTTGAGTAAAGCTAATTTGCCAGTCCTGGGTGGGGGCAAATCCTCGAGCTTGATGTGTAGGGAAGGGAGGGGGCCTGAATAATCCCTGAGGAGTAGTAGAATAGCAGATGGAACACTGAGAAGTTATTTCCTTGAGGATAGATTTCCACGATGGAAAGGAAATGAGAGGTTCTGAGAGGCGGGCTAGTGGCTTGTACTATAGCATAGCCTGCCTTTGCTGGTGTGTGGTGATTAGGCCTGGTAGAACTGCCATCAATAAATCAAGCGTGATCAGGGTGAGGAACAGGAAAGAAGGAAATATGGGGAGATGGGGTGAATATCAGGTGGATCAGAGAGATACAGTCATGGGGGTCAGGTGTGGTATCAGGAATAATGTGAGAGGCCAGATTGAAGCCTGGGCCAGGAACAATGGTAATTGTGGGACTTAAAGAGTGAGTACAGCTGAGGGAGCTGGGGAGCAGAAAGTATATGCGTCAGGTATGAGGAAGACAATAGATTTTGGAAGTTATGAGAAATGTAGAGAGTGAGTTGAGCATAGTTTGTGATTTTTAGGGCCTCTAACAGTATTAAAGCAGTGGCAGCCCCTGCACGCAGACATGAGGGCTAGGCTAAAACAGTAAGGTCAAGTTATTTGGACAGAAAGCCTACACGGTGTGGTCCTGGCTCTTGTGTAAGAATTCTGACCGCACTAACCATGCCTAGGAAGGAAAGGAGTTGTTCTTTTGTAAGGGATGGAGGTTTGGGAGATTAATCAGACACGATCAGCAGGGAGAGCACGTGTGTTTTTATGAGAATTATGCCGAGATAGGTAACAGATGAGGATGAAATTTGGGCTTGACTGAAGTAATGGGGGCTGTCTGTGAAGCCTTGCGGCAGTACAGCCCAGGTAATTTGCTGAGCCTAATGGGTGTCAGGGTCAGTCTAAGTGAAGGCAAAGAGAGGCTGGGATGAAAGGTGCAAAGGAATAGTAAAGAAAGCATGTTTGAGATCTAGAACAGAATAATGGGTAGTAGAGGGAGGTATTGAGGATAGGAGAGTATATGGGTTTGGCAGCACGGGGTGGATAGGCAAAACAATTTGGTTGATAAGGCGCAGATTCTGAACTAACTTGTAAGCCTTGTCTGGTTTTAGGACAGGTAAAATGGGGGAATGGTAAGGAGAGTTTATAGGTTTTAGAAGCCCATGCTGTAGCACGCAAGTGATAACAGGCTTTAATCCTTTTACAGCATGCTGTGGGATGGGATATTGGCATTGAGTGGGGTAAGGGTGATTAGGTTTTAATGAGATGGTAAGGGGTGCGTGATCGGTCACCAAGGAGGGAGTAGAGGTATCTTATACTTGTGGGTTAAGGTGGGGGAATACTAGAGGAGGATGCAAAGGAGGCTTTGGATTGGGAAGAAGGGCAGCAATGAGATGTGGCTATAGTCCAGGAATAGTCAGGGAAGCAGATAATTTGGTTAAAATATCTCAGCCTAATAAGGGAACTGGGCAGGTGGGGATAACTAAAAAAGAGTGCATAAAAGAGTATCCTCTAATTTGGCACCAGAGTTGGGGAGTTTTAAGAGGTTTAGAAGCCTGGCTGTCAATACCCACAATAGTTATGGAGGCAAGGGAAACAGGCCCTTGAAAAGAAGGTAATGTGGAGTGGGTAGCCTCCGTATTGATTAAGAAGGGAACGGACTTACCCTCCACTGTGAGAGTTACCTAAAGCTCGGCATCTGTGATGGTCTACCGGGCTTCTGAGGCGATCAGGCAGCATCAGTCTTCAGCCGCTAAGCCAAGAAGGAGTCAGTCAGAGAGCCTTGGGCCAGAGTTCCAGGGGCTCTGGGAGTGGCTGCCAGGTGAGTTGAACAGTCCAATTTCCAGTGGGGTCCCGCACAGATGGGACACGGCTTAGGAGGAATCCTGGGCTGCAGGCATTCCTTGGCCTGGTGGTCAGATTTCTGGCACTTGTAGCAAGCTCCTGGGGGAGGAGGTTCTGGAGGAATGCCTGGCTGCTGCGGTTCAGGCGTTTGGAAGTTCTTGTGTGCTGGATATGTGGCTGGGGTTTGTCTCACAGTGGAGGCAAGGAATTGCAACTTTTTTTTTTATTATTGTACACCTTGAAGGTGAGGTTAATTAAGTCCTGTTGTGGGGTTTGAGGGCCAGATTCTAATTTTTGGAGTTTTATTTAATGTCGGGAGCAGATTGGGTAATAAAATGTATATTGAGAATAAGATGGCCTTTTGACCTTTTAGGGTCTAGGGCTGTAAAGTGTCTCAGGGCTGCTGCCGAACGAGCCATGAACTGGGCTGGGTTTTTATATTTGATAAAAAAGAGCCTAAACGCTTCTGATTTGGGATAAAGAAAAAGGAGCATTAACCTTGACTATGCCTTTGGCTCCAGCCACCTTTTTAAGAGTAAATTGCTGGGCAGGTCGGAGAGGGTTAGTCAAAGAATGAAACTGTAAGCAGGACCAGGTGTGAGGAGGGGAGGCAATAAAAAGATTACAGGGTGGAGGAGTGGAGGCTGAGGAATAATTGGGACCTAGTTTGGCCTGGCGAGGAGGGGAGAGGTCAGATGGGTCTGTAGAAAAGGAAGATTAGAAAGACTCAGTGACGCTTGGGGTTGGGACTGAGGGGACAGGCAGGAGGGAAAGAAGGAAGATTTGGGACGAGCTGCACTGGGCACAGAGACTAGGAAGGGACTGATGTGTAAAAGAATGCCTGGACATCAGGCACCTCAGACCATTTGCCTATTTTATGACAAGAATTATTTAGATCTTGTAGGATGGAAAAATTGAAAGTGCCATTTTCCGGCTATTTGGAACTACTGTCGAGTTTGTATTGGGGTCAAGCGGCATTGCAGAAGAAAATAAGATGCTTAGATTTTAGGTCAGGTGAGAGTTGAAGAGGTTTTAAGTTCTTAAGAATATAGGCTAAGGGAGAAGAAGGAGGAATGGAAGGTGGAAACTTGCCCATAGTGAAGGAGGCAAGCCCAGAGAAAAGAGTAGAGACACGGAGAAGAGGTTGGGGGTTCTTGCCCTCCAGAAAAGCAGAGAAAGGGTTGGGGCATGGAAATAAGGAATTGGGGCACAGAGATAAGAGGTTGGGGTGCAGAAATAAGGGATTGGGGCACAGAGATAAGAGATCAGGGTTCAGAAATAAGGGATTGGGGAGTTCTTGCCCCCTAGGAAAGCAGGACTTGCTGCTAAGGGTGAAGGAGAAGGGGTTGAGGGGTACTTGCCCCTCCCCCAGAAAAGCAGAGAAGGGGTAGAGACATGGAGAGAAGGGGTTGGGGTACTTGCCCTTTCCCCAGAAAAGCAGAGAAGGGGTAGAGACAAGGAGAGAAGGGGTACTTGCCTTTTCCCTGGAAAAGCAGAGAAGGGGTAGAGACAAGGAGAGAAGGGGTTGGGGTACTTGCCCCTTCCCCTGAAAAGCAGGACTTTCCGCTAAGGGTGAAGGACCAAGGCAGGTGTACCTGCGTGGTCTGACACCCTTGAAACGTGGGTGAATAATCAGAGAGGTGTCCCTGCAATGATTAAACACCAAGGGAAAGCTGCCTTCCCAGTCCGTGACTGGCGCCGGAGTTTTGGGTCCATGGATAAAACATGTCTCCTTTGTCTCTACCAGAAAATGAAAGGAATTGAAATTAAGAGAAGGGAGAGATTGAAGTGTAGCACCAAGATTGAAAGGAGAAAGAGGTTGAGGGATAGTGAGGGAAGTTGGAGAAGAGAGTAAAAAGAGGCCGCTTACCGGATTTGAAATTGGTGAGATGTTTCTTGGGCTGGTCGGTCTGAGGACCTGAGGTCATAGGTGGATCTTTCTCACGGAGCAAAGAGCAGGAGGACAGGGGATTGATCTCCCAAGGGAGGTCCCCCAATCCAAGTCACGGCACCAAATTTCATGCGCATCTGTGTGAAGAGACCACCAAACAGGCTTTGTGTGAGCAACATGGCTGTTTATTTCACCTGGGTGCAGGCGGGCTGAGTCCGAAAAGAGAGTCAGTGAAGGGAGATAGGGGTGGGGCTGTTTTATAGGATTTGGGTAGGTAAAGGAAAATTATAGTCAAAGGGGGGTTGTTCTCTGAAGGGCAGGAGTGGGGGTCGCAAGGTGCTCAGTGGGGGTGCTTTTTGAGCCAGGATGAGCCAGGAAAAGGACTTTCACAAGGTAATGTCATCACTTAAGGCAAGGACCGGCCATTTGCACTTCTTTTGTGGTGGAATGTCATCAGTTAAGGTGGGGCAGGGTGTATTCACTTCTTTTGTGATTCTTCAGTTACTTCAGGCCATCTGGGTGTATACGTGCAAGTGACAGGGGATGCGATGGCTTGGCTTGGGCTCAGAGGCCTGATGTTATCTTTACTAATAAACAACCTAGAATAATTATATATGACCAGTTTTTATTATCATGGAAACTAAATGGAATAAATATGACAGTATTTTGTAGATTTAAATTTGCCAATAGTTGAAGAGACTGAGGCTTTTTAAAGGTATGTTTCTCTTTTTAAAAGGAGTCTTTCAACACCACATATGTTACCCATGAATCGTGTTTTTTCTGAAAAAGAATATGAGGAACAATTCGAGGGAATTTTTTATTCTACTGTCCTTTTTATCAGCCAATACTCCAGTTTGGTAAACTATGTAGTATTATCAGAGATTATAAATTGAAGCCTTTGATCTCTTTCTGATTGTACATCTAGTTTGTTTAAACGCATTCATTTCCCAAAATATTATCTAAAACTTGCTGATATTTGTATTGTATTTCAGTTGTAACTGAATCATTTAATATAACTTTTTTTGTTTTCAAGACTGAGATGTAAAGTCCATGACTGAAAGGATCATATATTCTATATATCTGATGCCTCTCTTTCTTCCTATCTGTCAATTTTTCCATTTTAATCTACAAATGCAGGATTACATAAGAGTTCTGTTAATGATATTCCCCAAATCATGTTTGCAAGGGCCCTCTTTAATCTTTTAAGAGCAGCCTATGAACACCTCCTCTTCTGAGAAACTAACCATAAATCCTTTTTTCAAATAAAAAGTATCTGTGGCTAAGGGAGGAGACCACCCCTCATATTGTCTTATGCCCAATTTCTGCCTCCAAAGAAAGAAGAAGTAAAAACTAAAAGTGGGAAATGAAATCCACAATCAGACAGCCCTGCACCACACCCTGGGCCTGGTAGTTAAAGATCAAACCCTGACCTAATGGGTTACTTGCATAAGAAAAGCACTGTGAAGATCCCTGTCCTGTTCTGTTCCATTCTAATTACAGGTGCATGCAGCCCCCAGTCATGTACCCCCTGCTTGCTCAATCGATCAAGACCCTCTCACAGGGACCACCTTAGAGTTGTGAGCCCTTAAAAGGGACAGGAATTCCTCACTCAAGAGAGCTCAGTTGTTGGAGATGTGAGTCTTGCCGAAGCTCCCGACCAAATAAAGCCCTTCCTTCTTTAACTCGGTGTCTGAGGGGTTTTGCCTGCGGCTTGTCCTGCTACATGCCTACATCATAATTGTGAAATAAAACCAACAGTGTTATCTTGGTCATGACTAAATCAACAAAGAATTAGTCCCTGAGCTAAAAATTGTTACCAGTACATGAGGGGGCACCAATATCTCTCCCAAGTGGTAGCAAACCAAAAATAAAATGCTAAGCCTCCCAACCAAATAAATGCATGACCTCTTGCCTGAGGGGATTCTAAAGAAACCTGAAATACTAGTTCAGGACATGAGGAGGTGGGGGTTAGACATGCTTCCCTTTGGAGTTTAGGCACAACTGACCAGCATTAACATTAAAATAGAGATTATAACACTGACAAAAGAAACTCTTTGTAGCATTACAATACCCAACTCCAACCTGACTCTGGTATAGCACTATGTGACAGATAACAGGCCCCAAAGGCAACTAAAATGTTTTGCCCCAAAATATATTTCTTTAGCATATTTAGGAATGACTCTGCAAAGCCATCTCTTGTGAGGGAAATTTCCATTCTGTATATAATCCCTTCCTTTACTAGATCTTTTCCAGAGAGTCTGACACCATTTAAGGTCCTTATAAGAGACATTTACCATCTGTTCTCTCTGAAGCCTAATACCTGGAAGCTTCATCTACATAAGAACCTTGGTTTCCACAAGTCCTACCTTATCTTAACTCAAGCATTTCTTTATGCTGAATTCAATTCTTCAGCCAGGGCTTAATTCTTTCAACCACTTGCTGATCAGAAAAATCTTTGAATCCACCCATGACCTGGAAGCCCCTACTTTGAAATGTCCTGCCTTTCTAGGCAGAATCAATGTATACCTTCCATGTATTGATTTATTTGTTTGCCTGCAACTTCTATCTCCTTAAAATGTATAAAGTCACACTGTGACACAATGAACATGGGCACATGTTATCAGGACCTCCTCAGGCTGTGTCATGGGCCATGCTCCTTAACCTTAGCAAATAAACCTCTAAAATGATTGAAACTTATCATGGGTATTTTCTTTGATTTATATGGTTTAATGTGCAAATCTGCCTAAATTGTTTAAATAGATAATAGGTCCCATCAAATTCTTTGGTTTATGGAATGTTAATAGGCAGAACATCCTAATCTTTCTGGAGGCAAGTTATATGCCAAATGTTGGAAAGGATGGAACCCAGTGTGATAATATGGCTATGAGTTTCTCCTCTATACTATTTCAGTTTTCTATTATTTGTATAATAGACTCACAACAATATCATTAATCTAAGAAATCTGAGCATGCTTTTTCCTCCAAAACTTATTGAATAATAATTAAAGTATTAGGGTTCTTCAGAGAAAAATAATTAACTGGATATCTACAGATATGTACAAAGATTGATTATAAGGGATTGGCTCATGCCATTATGGAGGCTGAGAAGTCCCATGATCTGCTATCTGCAAGCTGGAGGATCGAGAAAATCAGTGATGTAGTTCTAATTTAAGCCCAAGGCTTGAGATCCAGGGGTACCAATGACGTCAGTAAATCCCAGTTCAAGTCTGAAGGCCTGAGAACCAGGGGCAATGATGTCTGAAGGAAGGAAAAGATGAATGTCCTGTATCAAAAGGAGAAAATGAATTTTCTCTTCATTTGGCTTTTTGTTTTATTCATCCTTCAGGAGACTGGATGATGCCCACCCACACTGGTGAGGACAATTGTCTTTCAGTATATTGATTAAAAGAATGATCTCTTCCAGAAACATCCTTACAGGTATCACTAGAAATAATGTTTCACCAGTTATCTGGGCATCCTTTAGCACAGTCAAGCTGAAATGTAACATTAACCATCACAATTAATCTACCAGTTTGAAATAAATATATCCTTCATGTGTGGTAAAACAAAGCCGCTAAGTATTCTATGACCACAGACAAGAAACTAACTCTGTGCTTAGTTTTTCATTTGTTTCTGAAATTAGGGTAATAATAGTATCTACTCCACAAGATTGTTGTGCACATTAAGTGTTCATAAATTTTATGTGAGTTCTTAAAAATAACAAACACATATATAAGACAATATTTGCCAAGCATTATTCTTAGCCCTTTTCCAAATGTTAACTCATTTAATGTACATAACAATGAGGTATGTACTGTAATTGCATTCACGTTACAGAGAAGGAGACTGAGGCATAGGGAGAAAAACTGATTCACCTTAAGTTACAAAGCTAGTAAGTGATATTAAACAGTACCTGATGTATCACAGTTGCTCATTCATTATTATTATGGTTATTATTACTATCACTATATGAAATTTGATTATGCTTTTTATGACTTCCTATACTATTGAATTTGGATAAAAGTGTTGGTTCTATTATAAGTTAATGAATTTGAACATATTGGATATGTTTCTCTCCATTTCAGTAATTATCATTATTGATCCTCCAATTTTCATATCTTTGAATTATGCTTTGAAGAATTAGAAACCTCTTCAGATTGACTCTTAAATTCTTTTGATACAACCCAGTAGTTTTGATATATTTTTATTCATGACAAAATAAGAAAAATCCTAATTTGTCACTCTTGGAGGTTGTTAAAACATCAGTTCATCACTGGAGATTTGTAAATGAATTGATTCAAACATTAATTTTGCCTTTACTTTATACACTGTACTTCCAGAAAACCACAAACTCAATAAGTAGATGTTTCTCATTATTCTTTGTACAGTAGTATTCCAGATAATTAAAAACAAAGGAATTTTAAGTTTGAATACCAATATTTTCTGATAATTAATAACAAAGGAATTTTAAGTTTGAATACCAATATTTTCTAAGGCCTAATTAATTAATGTATCTATGCAATAATCATCAGTGGCTTAGGGATGCTATTATCATATTAAGGGAGACAGCCAAATGTTACGTGTCCATGATGGAAGTATGAAACCCCACAAATGACATAGGCTTACCACACAATTGATCCTGAATCTGATCAAATCTGTAGTCCAGAACTACTTAGTGTAATATATAAATGTTATATAATCCATACTAATAAAAATAGTAGACACAAGCCAAATGTAGTGGCTGTATGTATATATACATACATTCATACACACACACACACACACACACACACACATAATCTCTATCATGCTGAGACACATACTGAAGTATGTATGAACGAAATGACATAATGATGTCTGGAATTTGCTTCAAAATTATTCACTGGTGACTGGGAAGATGAGTGGGTTGGGTTAAGATGAAACAAAATAAAGCATTATTTGGTAGTTATTGAAGCTGTATGATGGGTACACAAGAGTTCATTACACAAAAAGATCTACTTTTGTGCATATTTGATGCTTTCCAAAATGAAAAGCTTTGCTTTTCCTTACTGGCTTCAAAATCTTAAGATACATTACATTTCTCCATTATGGTGATGGGCATTCTGTGCATTGGTTTTCCTGTTAACAGAAGATAGGCAGATTAGGAGCCAATGGCAGTCTAGTTAAAGGTCTTTAGAAAAAGAAAAATAATAAACAAATAGGCATCTTATTCATTATATTATAAATCACTGCAGACAATACTTATCAAATTGTTAAGAAAAGTGGAATTTTAATTAAACTGTAAAAGTTTTGGTACAGGCCCCAGACAGCATTTTGAATAGGAAAATTTGAAATATTTTGGCCAAAAGCCATAGTTTGATTTACTGTCCTTTTATAATCCTCAGAAATGTTGTAGTAATTGTAGACAAAAGTATTTTATTTGAATGTTCACATTTTATTAAAAAAGGATTTAATATTATATCCTGAGAACAAGGATCTTTGATTTCCTATTCGCTAATCCTGCTTAGATCTTTTTGGCTAAAATAATGTTTTTAAGTTTGTCATGCTACAGTGAATTTCAGCTAATCTGCCTGTGGTCTTTCAAAACAAATACATTAAAAGGAAATTTTTAAATGATTAAACTAACTTCTATTCAATGAGTACTTACTGGAATTCAGACATTTTGTTAGACAATTTTAATCTCTTATTTAATTCATTGTCCTGGGTACCTAAGGTAGGAATTATTACTTATTACATGAAATAACAGATTAAAGAACAGAGATCAAATAAGTTAAGTAACTTGTATAAAATCACACAGTTATAAAGTCTGAGAATGCAGTGATATAATTAGAAAAGGCTTAGTGATTTTCATGATTGAGAATTTTGCTTTATTGTATTTTCTGTGTTTTGCTTTTTTGTTGTTACTTATCACAGAATGGTGGTAGCTGATAAAATCAGCTGATGACTATATTTAGGGTATGTCAGGAAGAATTCTGGTAATGTGCCCAGAGACCTAGACTAAGTGTAGATTATTAATCAGTTTCGGAAGAAGCATAATAAAAGTCGTGCTCTTTGAAGCAAGATTGGCCAATTTTTATGTGTATGTCTGTCATTGACATCTGTGTAACAATAGCAAGTGTACTTAACTATATTTAACCTGTTTGTCTTCACCTCTAAAAGAATAGCAATGCTTACTTATAATGTTTTATAATTAAAGTTAATGAATCCCATGTCTTTAGGCTAATGTCTTGTACATAATAAGATTTAATAAATGATACCAGGTTTTACTACAAAATATTTGTGTAGCATCGGGCAATTTACTTATCTTTTTGATACACCAATTTCCAAATATATAAAATGGAGATAATGATAATAATATTGCCTTCTAAAGTTGATGAGATTTACAAATTAATTTTATATAAGTACTTATAATAACAGTGCTTGGTATATACTAAATGCTATATTAGTGCTGGCCTTATTCTATTAGTATTAATTTAAAATTATAATTAATGTAAGAGTTCATGTTATGCCCAAATTCTTTCTCATGGCTTAGAATATACAAAATAGATTTTCAAAATGATGTAATCTTGTCTTAAGTTGATTAATTTATCTGAATGATGCAATAAGTATGAACATTTTAATAAAATATAGGTACTGTTAGGTTCCAAGTAAATACTTATCTATATGAAAAAGAGGCAGATAAAGATGACATTTTAAATCAATATGAAAAGAAGATGTTAGTAATTAAGTGATATGAGAGGAATTGGCTATAGGAAATCAAAATTTGATTCCTATCATCATAAGGCAATATAAAGCTCAGATTTAAGTTCTAAATGCAAATGAAGTTAAAAATATTTTTAAAAACATATGAAAATCTGCCCTTTTGGGGAGTACATAAGGCCTCAATAACAACAAAAGTTAAAGAAGAAACCATAACTTAAAAAAAAATTGATCTAACACAAATTAGTACTAGTAAGAGTCAATATCCCAGTATTAAAAATTTACACTCCTATGAAATTAGAGAGGATTGTAAAAACTTTAGATTTATGTTTGTAAAAGTTAGCTAAGTGTAGGCACACTCATTCATTACTGTTGAGAGCATAAATTGGTACATTTCTTATTCAGAGCAATTTGGCAGTGTAGTGTTAATATGTTAAGAAGAAAAAGAAGAGGAAGAGGAAAAGCAAGAAGAAGGAGGAAGATAAGGAGGAAGAGGAAAAAGAGGGGGATGAAGAGGAAGAAGAAGAAAAAGTAAAAAAGAGAAAAATATATATTAAAAATAAACACTTCAAAAAAGTCATACCTGGCTGGGTGCTGTGGCTCATGCCTGTAATCCCAGCACTTTGTGAGGCCAAGGTGGCAGTGTCACCTGAGGTCAGGAGTTTCAGACCATCCTGGCCAACATGGTGAAACCATGTCTCTACTAAAAATACAAATATATATATTTGTATATATATATAAAATATATTAAATATATTAAAATATATTAAAAAATAAAAAATATAAAATATATATTAAATATATTAAAAATATATATTAAATATATATTAATTATACATTATATATTATATATTTTAAATATATATAAAAATATGAAATATATATTAAAAATATATATATTATATATATAATATATAAAATATATATAATAAAAATACAAATATATATATATATATTAACCAGGCATGGTGGTACATACCTGTAATCCCAGCTACTCGGGAGGCTGAAGCAGGGGAATCACTTGAACCTGAGAGGCTGAGGTTGCAGTGAGCCGAGATTGTGCCATTGCACTCCAGCCTGGGCAATGAGTGAGACACCAACTCAAAAAAAAAAAAAAAAGTCATATCTTTTCACCACATATTTTAATGTCTAGAGATCTGTGTCAGTCCACTCTCACACTGCTATAAAGAAATACCTGTGATGGGGTAATTTATAAAGGAAAGATGTTTAATTGACTCACAATTCCATATAGCTGGGAAAGCCTCAGGAAACTTACAATTATGGCAGAAGGGGAAGCAGGCATCTTTTTCATAAGGCAGCAGGAGGTAAAAGTGAGAGTGCAGAAAAAATCTACCACTTTAAAAACCATCAGGTCTCATGAGAACACACTCACTATCATGAGAACAGCATGGGGGAAACTGCCCCATGTTCCAATCACTTCCCTCCCTTGACACCTGGGGATTAGAGGTCCCTTCCCTGGACAGGTGGGAATTACAATTTGAGATGAGATTTGGATGGGGACACAGAGCCAAACCATATCAAGATCTCCTCAGGAAATAATGATAAAGTTTTACAAATATTAAGGCACAAACCTCTTCACTGAAGTGTTCTGTATTGCTTGAAATGTATTTTAAGCTATCTAAATGACAATAAAGAATACATCGAATAAATTATTGTACATCCATGTGATGACTTAAGTTATAGAAATTAAAAGAATAGCTTTGGAAAAATATAGAAAAATACTCATTATACAGAATATAAAACATTATATGAAGTACGCACAAATGCCAAAATTATATATACATGGATAAAAAATGTACTGAAAGAGTATATGCCAAGATATGAACCTGATTTTTGAGTAGCAGATTAAAGCAGATCTTCATTTTCCTCTTTCTTTTCAGCATTTTACAAATTCACCAGAGCATGTGTGTGTGTGTGTGTGTGTGTGTGTGTGTGTATGTGTGTGTATGTTCTTAAAATATATACTTATGTGAAAAACATAATTTAAATCATATATAGACAGTTTAATACCATAACTATTCTCAATTTTCTTACAGTGTGTTTTCCAAATGTTTAAAGTATTATGATTAAAATAGTGCAATTAGGGAAATCAAATGAGTTTCATAAAATAAAGCAATTCTTACCATGATGACACTTTTAAGAAATACTTAATACAGAATGTGCTTCTACTCTTAGGGTAAGGAAAGACTTTCTAGGCATAATACAAAATCCTAAAACTTTTATTTAAAAAAATTGATGTACACAATTAAATAGAAACTGCAAAATGTTGAATAATGAAAAACATAAATTTAAAAGGCAAATACTTGAAAACATTTATAAAATATAACTGAAAATTGTTAGCATTAATTATATAAAGATAATTCCTACATAGAGGAAATATATGGAAGTGGTAGAAAGGGACCACAAAATAAAACAGAAAAAAAAATCTGGAGGGAAACACATGGTAAATTCCCCAATAGCAGTATACATATAAAACAGTGCTCAAGCAAAAATGTAGATAAATCTCAAAAGAACAATTTTGAGTGAAATACTATAGGCTACAAGCATTACCTACTATATGATTTCATTTGTATAAAGTACAAAACAAGGAAAATTGGTCTATCCAGGTTGAAGTTAGGATAGTGGATACCCTTGGCAATGGTCATGACTTTAAGTAGACAGTAGAGATCTTCTCAGTTGCTTACAATATACTCTTTCTTAATTTGTGTTTCACTGTGTTCAGTTTCTGAAAATTCAATAAACTCTTCAATTCTGATCCATGTACTTTTCTTTGTATTATAATTTAATAACAATATTTTTAATCAATCAGATTATCTTAGGTTATGTTCAAATTCCAATAAGATTCCAGAGAGCATGTTGAATTCGCATATAAAGTGTCCAAGCAGAAAACAAGTTTGCTAGCCTTAAAAACTTAATATGAAAATTATGACATCTTGAATTTGCATATAAAGTGTCCAAGCAGAAAACAAGTTTGCTAGCCTTAAAAATTTAGTATAAAAATTATGATTATTTTGTTAACCCTGTGAGTTTGATTTTAAATATCATTTTGTGAATGGTTTCCTTTAATCCTGGCATTCTCAATGTAAAAAACAGAAAGGAAATAATGTCATTTTAATTTATTATACACATAGAAATGGATATTGAGAAATTTCACTTGAAAATTGTATAGCAGATCTAGATAAGTACATATTGATGCGTATTTCTGTGGTTTATTGTGTGATTCAAATTTACTTTTAAAGTAAGTAGTAATTTATGTAGCCAATAATGGTTTGTATAGTTATTAAAAATTTATCCTCAGTATGAATATTAAACTAGAAAATGAAATACATAAAAATAAATATAAAATTGAATATATTTATTTCATCAACTGATAACTATTATTAAACATTTTTCACCCTCCAAATTTGTTTCTATGCAACTAAACCCTTTGGTAAACTGTGTCAGAAAAAAGGAAAAAAATCTTTGAAATCAGCCAAAAAATATTACTAAGAGTCTTGTCAAGTATACCATTCAGGATTATCTGTGCCTGTCATCGTACTTAAGTTACTTTACCAGTCAGTAAGTTGTAGAATACTGGCAATAAAGTAAATGACCTTTGTGCAAAGAAAAACTATTTTAATCCACTGGAGATACTATGGATTATTGCACTTGTATATTGACCAATTTGGAATATTTTTGTAAAGCAATTTTAGCATTCCTTATGGCTTACGTAGGTTAATGTATTTTCTAAATTCTTCTTTGAATTAGTTATAACAACCTAAAGGTTCCTAAATTAGTTGATGTTAAAGTATTTGAAACAAGTTTATATTTTTATGAGTCACAATTTTATATTTGAAAGATTCATCAACATTAGCTTTTTTTAACAAAGTAGGTCATGTATATATTTTCATGTCATTAAATACATATTGGCATAATTTCTTTAGTGGCTCCATAATATTCCATTGTATAGATTTATCATATCCTGTACCATTAGTCACTTATGTCACTGCCAATTTTTATTATAAAGGCAATAATGAAAAAATAAAAATTGCAGCTACTCCACTATAATGTAAACTCTATGAAACATTTTTTTCTGTTTTCTTTTTTAACCTATCTATTGCTGTGCCTGCAAAGGTTCTTAGAACATAATACGTATAAGCAGCTATTAACTGTGTTGAATATATGAAAGAGTACCCTTAAAACCCAGAAATATGCATCAGAAGCTATGTTTCATCTGTCACATTGACAAAATATAAAAACATTTACAATATCCAGTGCTGGCAAGGGTGTAGAAAGGAATGGTATCACTCACTCTTGATAAAATTCTAAATTATGGTACATTTTCTGGAGGAAATATGACTGTACCTAACAAAATGTAAAATGTGACTATCTTTGGAATCAGTATTCATACTTCTGAGAACTTACCTTATGGGAGAAAAGTTTAACTTTGCGTGCAGATACACAAGATACCGATTATTACAGCATCATTTTTAACAATGAGAAGTTGGAAGCAATCTTCATGTCAATCAATGAATTGTTAGTAAAGAAATACTAGTATATCCAGTATTCATGAATTCCAATAAGTGATATAAAAAGAGTTACGTACAAAGATATTTAAAGGTTCCCATATATATGATTAAGTGAAAAAAAGTAAGTCATATAACCCAATGTACAATGTTATATGACACTAAAAAAAATGCTTCCTGTATATGGATAAAGAAGAAATCTTAAAGGAAACATATCAAACCTTTACTATGATTATTTCTGAAGAATAAGATGGGAAAAGGATCATGAGAGATTTTTTTTTCCACAGTGTATACCTCCATATCATTTTAGTTATTTTTGTCATAAACATTAATTGATCTCATAAATAAAAAGAAAAATAAAGTAAATAATTTCATATCAAACTGAAGAATTTAAGACCATGCCATCCTCAAACCTGCTACTCCTGGATATTGATTATTTTGAGTTAAAGACACTTGAAAAAATACAGCATCAAGACCACTCTGACTTTCCTTCTCTTTCTTAAAAGCAAGTGATGAGATTCCCATGTGAAAGATGTCCTCTCTGCACCACAAGGAAAGTATCATTTTTTTTTATCATCAAGGATGGGACACAGGGCAGCTACTTAAAAATAAGTACCTGAGAGGGGCCCTTCCATTTTGATTGTAATTGAACCTCAGGGGATTCTTCTCTCCAGGGTTTTAATAGAATTTCCATATTCTTGAAGGGCATTTTGGACCTGGCCTAAATTCCAAAAAGGGGGGTATAGTGAGGTATATCTGACATCCTGTTTCTTTTCACGGCCTAAATTTGTTTTTCAGGCTTCTTATTGTCAATTAAATGTTCTAGGCCAGACAAGAAGCATGGTGGGCAGGCACCCATTTGTTCTTAAAACACTTTTTAAACAATATAAGAGACTAAGACTAAAAGCCAAAAATAAGGCTACACATCAAGAGAAAACAAGAGTACAGCATCAAGCTATACTGGAGAAAATCATTGCTTTTATATACCTCTAAGATGAAATATTTCAGCAACAGGCCATAACAACAGTTAGAACCAGAGGATAAAAAAATCACAGAAGCTGACAAAAAAGCTAAAGAAGAGAGTTATTCTCCTCTCCTTTTTATGAGAAAATGGATTATAAGCATTTGCCAGTGAATGAAATACAACAAAAGGAATATATTTATTAAACAAAGTCTATAAGGGGGTGTAAAAACAGAATGACAAGATAATCATTTTGAACTTTAGAGCAGAAAACAGACAAGGCAATACCAAAAATCGGAGGTGGTTTAGAGACCCCCTAGAGTGGGCCTCTAACTCACAATACCTCTCTAGAGTAGGCCTCTAAACCACAATATCCAATGTCAAAAACCCCAGAGCACATGGGGATGACCAACACTGAAGGTGGGACTCTAACTCACACTTCTAGAATGAACGCTCTCACAATCAGGTGTTCTGCCTTCTACACTTGCCCAAATGCGTTAATGGGGAGCTAAAGCAAAAACTGCAAATGAAACATATATTTCAGTGTGGAAGGTAAATTAAAATAAAATTTCCAATCAAAAAATTAAAATGGTGTTAGAGGAGAAATGGCTGAGAGAAGGGCTGACAAGGACAAAGCTGATCCATTGTGCTTCCATTCAGGGCACTCAAATGGCAGGGGATTTTGAATGGACTACCTAGCCAAGGTCTTATTTCCAGGCTCACCCAATGTTGAAAGGGGGGCAGAAGGAACACTTACCCATCCACAGGAGCCAAAATGATACTGACTTGTCTCCAATGTGTGGCTTGGGTGAAGGTCTCCACCCAAGCTTTACAGGTTGGGCTGGCTCAGCTGCCATGAGAGGATTGGAGTATGATCCTGTAACCAGCCAGCCAGAATGGTGGGTCTTTTTATATGAGGTGACACTGTGGCTGCTTGCCCATCTGTCTGCTCAGATCTGCTTCCACCACCTCCCAGGAAAGATGATGGCTCTGAAAAGAGCCTTTGGCTAGAGTTACAGCTCTACAGTGTTATGCCTCATCAATCATAATCTTGCTGCCTCACCACCTCACTGTCTCACCAATCATTGCCTTTCACCTTCTCTCCACCCAACTATTTCACCAATTGCCACCTCTCGCCATCTCACCATCTCATTGTCTCACTGATTGCCAATTGCCAACTTGTCACCTTGTCAATCACCAATTGCCATTTTACCATTTAGTTTCATCCCTTTTTGATCACCAAGATGATACAGGACAAGTGAGCCCCAAAATTGAGACTTAGCCTGGGAAGTTTCTTGGCTTCCCTCAGGAAAGAATACAAGGGCAAATCAGAGGTGAGAGAGGGCAACTTTTATTGAATCAGTGCTGCTCCTTGCAGAGCAGGGCTAACCCACAGCCAGTGTGCCCAGAGTTGGCAGCATATGGGCTGTTGGCAGTTGCATTTATATCCACTTTTGCTTACATGACAATTAAGGGGCAGATTACTCAGAACTTTCTAGAAAAAGGGAGGAGAGTTTCTGGAATCATGTAAGATAACTTCTGGGCCACTATCATGGTCCATTGCCATGGCATTTGTAAACTGTCATTGTGCCAGTGGGAGTGTCATTATGCTAACAAGCAGTGAGGGCAACTAGATGTCACTTTCATTGCCATCTGCAGGTTTGGGACAGCTTCCTCACTTCACCCTGAGAATCAACCAGATTCTGCTTCAATTAGCAGGATCATTACTGGAAAATAAGTCCTGCCAGCCTCCTACCTTACTGTTTATAAATTAAATTAGATAAATTTGTATGCTTTTCTCCTGATAATCTGTTTTATGTTAGTTTAACTCTTAGGCCCAGTTTAAAAAAAAAAAATCTAAGAGTGTAGAAGTAAATTCTGCCACCACTTATAAGACATTGGTTAAAAGAAAATGTACATAATTCAGTTAGCACAAGAGAGATTTTGAAATTTTCAGTCACTGTTTTTCAAATTTATGTCTCTTATTAAGCAGAGGGTCATGTATATTATCCAACTCAATAAATAATAGTTCAATAATATAGTGTAAACCATTTTTTTCATTAAAGATTTAAAAAGTGTAAAAATTGCAGCAGCTAGGGATAATGGTATGTTCTCTCCTGGATTTTGGAGCTCCACGGATTTGTGTTTTGGGTTCTCTCAGTTTCTTTGAGCAAATTTCTGATCCAAACTGTCTTTGGAAGTCATGACAGATACGGGACTGGGGCCATAATTGGATTTAATTAAGGAATCAACTGGCTTGGATCCAGTTAGAGGCCTCTTACATCTGAATGGGTCAGAAAGAAACAGATAGTAAATGGTAATATTGCAGAGGGTATAAAATTTGGCTTTTTGGAAATTCACAGGGGTTTTGTCTTCTACTCCTTTATTTCATTTTTCTTACATGCTTAGATAGGAAAAAAAAAAAATTGGGTAAGTTAATCTAGGAACCCAAGAGCAAAGCCAGTATCTTAGGTAAAAATGGGATTCTTAATTTCTGAAGAACTGAGCAGCAAATTCTTACAGAAATGGCAAAATCTTACTAAAGATTACTTCCAGTAGAATGTTCCAAATGAACAAAACTGCACTGAAGTGCATTTGAAAATGAGAGTTCCCAAATTAGTCTCTCATCTAGGGATGCCTATTGGCATGCAGAAGCTTCTAAAAAGTTTTCGGTATTTTTATTTAAAGACTTTACATAAGGCAAATAAAAACTTGAGTGACCAATTGATTAAAAAAAGAAATCTGCCTTGCAGTTTTTCCTGATGGCAATGAGTGACAGGATTAGGCATGTACTGGACCATGGAAAATGGGAAACATTTTCTCCTCAAAGGGGAAAAATTGAGAGCTGATGGGATTGCTGGAAAAGACTCCTTCATGACTAACAAGCAGCCATCTGAACTTTTGATTCAGGTTCGCTACAATGGGTGGGTTTTTCTCTAACCTCCTAGAGCTAATCACCTTCCACACCCTGCCACAGGCAATGATTCTCTCTTGCTCTCTCTCTGTGCAAAACAGTTGAGGGAATGATAAAATTCACTATATCTTGGAAAGTTTTAATTAATGAGAAAAATGATTTATGAGACTACTCTTAAGCTGTAATAATCTGGTAAACTTTGTGGTATGAATTTGTCTTTTTGTGTTGTTTTGTCACGAAAGGGGTACCTTATGATAGAACATGAGCTTAGGTTTCCATAAGCTCACTGTTCAAGATGGCCCAGCAAGCTAGTCAGTGACAAACTTTGCTGCAAGTCTCTGAAACAAACAAAAAACTGGATGAGGTCTCCATCTTGTTTTATGTCCTTAGGAGCTTGATCTTGTAACTACATTGTGGTACTTTCTCTTGGTCTTTGCCATCTAGGGAACAGGAATTTGGTGGTTCATGTAACAGCTCTACAAATTATCTTGAGTAGTTAAAAGTCATTGCAAGCTCAAAATTGACTGCTCTAGACTCCTTCTGGGAAGAGCAATGGAAACTTCCCAATGCTCCTTTGCCTCAGCAGCTAAGGCTTTGCCATTTCAAAATGGTGGCCTGGGTTCAATCTTGGCTTAGGGAATTAGTATATTTCTTGTTGATATCTGTGTGACCTTTAACATTTGTTGATTCTCTTCCCCTCCATGAACAACTTCTAGGTTCCCTTCTTAAGTTTTCCTTTCTCTGAGCTACCTTTGAAGATTCCAACTTCTGTAACAACTGTTTACCACCTCTTTGAAAATACCTCATACACTTGTACACTCATGGTTAAGCCATAACCTTTTTTAAAGCTTGTTAGTTTTACCCATGAGGTTAATTTTGGTAACATTTAAAAGCCAGGAATAGTTCCTGTTTGGCCTGGCTAAAGTAGGGTAATAAGAAATTTACAAGGAATTTTTTTTTTTTTTTTTTTGCAAGAGCTGTGGTTAAAAGTCAGCTTAATTAAAAGTGGCTATCCAACCTCTACGTATATTTAAGAGGCCTTTTTTTGTTTTCTTTCTCTTCTTGAATCTTATTTTTCTGAAGCAAAGGGTGTTTTCTTTTCTTCTCAGTGGACTGAAATGTTTTTTCTTTATTTTTTTCTTCTTGCCACTCATAATGCACACCTGAGAGGACCTAAGATAACTTCTAATAGTGTGGGACTCCTTGGGAAAAACAGAGTAGCCACCATAGATCCTGTTTTAGGAAAAACCTCTGTTTTTCTTGTGAAACCCCAGGAATTCAAAGTATATAGATCCCTCTCAAAATGTAAGGCTGTGTTGTGTTTTTCATTGTGTTATCTGATAAGTTTGAGTTAAGCGATTAACGGAAATTACTTCTCAATATGAGAGAACTTTTGTGTGTAATAACTGGGTAGGAAATGTACTTTTAGGGATGGCTAATTGCATTTATGTCAGATACTCAGCTCTTTGCATGTTTGGATTAGAGATGCATACGCTTGGCCACCTAGAAGGTATGGAAATGTTCCCACCTGGCACTGAGAGATAAGACTCCCATTGGTGATAGGCTGATTGCAAGATGGGCTGATTGCAAAATCGGCTGATTGGCTGGGTTGCCATGCAATGAAATGCAAGGTATAAGCATTACACTGTCTTCTCCCATAGCATTTCTGTTTCAGGGGATCCAGAATGTGATATAAAAATGGGACCCTTAATTTTGGAAATCTGCTTTTGTCTTCAAGCTCTGCCTGTTTATAAGGCCCTAGAAAATGCATGCTTTTCTGGCCCTCTTCCTTGAAGAACTCCATCTTGAAGCCAGTAATCCATTTAAGAAAGTTAAAAACTGGCAAATGAAAAATCTGACAACTACTGGATCTTCTTCTGTCTGTATGCATAGTTATATATGTGTTGTGTTTGTGATGTTTATATAAAAGAGCTCTAATTAATTGGCTTAAAGAAAAATAAGCAAATTGATTTCAAATCAAATAATTTAAAGACTTTGTCAAAAAATTAAAACTAATGCCTTTTACTTCATGTGACTTAATAAGCTTTCAGAAATAAAGAGTTTTAAAAATTATTGGTAACATAAAGACATTTTGTCTAAATCAAGCAGTTCAGATATTAGGTTTGCTAAATGATTTTAGGTAATAAACTGCTTTTTTGGCTTTTAAAAATCGTTCAACTCGCCGCTTTACAGCTTGGTAAGGTAAGTTCTGGGACATATGGAGTTACCTATGCCCCTAGTTATGCTGAAAAGAATCAGACCATATCTGCACTTCAGTCTGGTGACCTAGGCTCCAAACCTAGTACGTAATTAAAATCACTTGCTTACCAGGCTTTTCATCAAAGATAAAAATTGCTAAAAGTTGACATTGTAACATGTGACTAAGACTACTAAAAAATGTTGTACATGCAAGGTGTGTGAAGACAGTGAAATATGCTTTTAATAAAAGATTATAACAAGGCATGAAAATGTAAATTTTTGCCTGGTTTAGAGGATTAAAGGATTGTTTTAAATCAGATAGGATAAAGCTGAAGTTTTGAGTAAGTTGTGAAGGATTCGAGAAAAATTGATCTTGTAAAAAATTCTGTGTGATATATATTAGCTAAATTTAAAAGGGTATTACTTATTTTTTTCTGTACATTGAACATTGGAATAAAAGCACGACAGGGTTTACTTTAAGAACTGATCTGCTCTTTAACAAATATTTGTAGAGGATTAGAGAAAGTTTCTGAGCATCTCACCTTATGGTCAAACTGATTAAGATTGACAGATTTGTCTATAAGGTTTTATTAAAGATTGGAGTTGACGTTAATAGTACACTAATGCAAAGGTGAAATTTGGCTTTCTTTCTTGAACCAGATACTCATGTAATATTAAATAATAATGCAAATTTTTGTTTTACTTTTGAATAAAATACTGAACAAAGAAATAAAGACAAGGGACAGATTGTTTTGAAAGCTAAATTGTCCCTCTCTCAATGAGTAATGATTTATGCCTTTTTAAGGTTTTTGAGTCATCATTTTGGCCAACTGAATGACTTATGGTGACCTGGAATTCTATTTCATAATATCAAGTGTTTTAAACCTTTAACATATTTTATAGGCTTTCCAAAATCAAATTTCAGCTTCAAAATAGTCTCTTCTGACCTCTAACTTTGGGATGCTACAGAGAACCCCTGAAGCATCCAAAGGAGAGGTAAACAGGATTATTTAACATGTTAAGTTACATGAGAAGCATTGTCAAAACAAAAAATTATGTTTCACCTTCTTTAGGTTATATTTTAGTGAATGACATTAACATATGTTACAAAATTGCATGGGATTGCTAAAATTCAAATATGTCTAAGTATATGTTATCAATCATAATTATGGTTATTATATTAAGTTATTGTAGGCCACAGAAATAGCCAAATTTCCTTGTCAATTGTGTTTTTAACTATAACCATTTAAAGTCATTTCCATATTAATTGCTTAATGCTGACACAGTTTCTGAAAACTTCACAAACACACAAAATCGTAGAATATAGTGTCTTCTAGGAGGTTCATGAAAAGATGGAAAGGACCCTGAAAGCACTCTTGAATATAGGTTTCTAATAACTCTAAAATCATTATCATTTGGACTGAGTAAGAATTCCTGAAACTTTAATGAAAAGAACATTGTCAGGAGGCTTTCATGCTTCTAGATGGATATCATTTGTTAGGTCCTTTTTCTATGATTTGGATTCAGAGAAGCAATAATTAGAAATGTATCTCCCATGATGGGATCTATTGCAGATCCTACTGGAAAGGCTATGGTTACACAACAAACTTTAAATTCTCTTGGGAAACTTCTGCTAAATAATAGAATTCTTCTAGATTACTTTCTGGCTAAACAGAAGTATCTGTGCAGCTGCTGGCCCTTGTGGACAATGGAAAAATATATTACATCAGGTATTATAGCGATCCAGTTGTAGGGGATTAGCGAAGATACTCTTTAGTTAAGAGAGTAGAGTCCATCAGGCTCATTCTTTTGTCTGTTTGATTTTAGGTGGTTTAATTTATGGGGACCCTGGGTTAGAAGCATACTCCAAACTCTTGATATTATCCTCCTGATAGTCATAATAGTAGTCTCCCTGGTGTGTTGTATTTCCTAAAACATTTTAAATGTTTGCATGTAACCATCTCTAGAATGCCAAATGGTCTCTCTTCAACTGGCATGACAAGAGCTACAAGAAATGTGTGACCATGAGGACATCATAACCTATGAATGACATGCTGAGACTGGAACCCCAAAATGGTGGTAACTGAGATTGGCACTAAGGCCTTAATTTTTGGTCACACTTTCACCTAAGTGAGAACCTGACCAAAAAGGGGGAATTTATTTAAACACAATTATGGAAGGTTATTGTTTTGGACTGAGCTCATGCACTAGGCCCCAAGAGACAAAATCAAGCAAAAATGGAATGTTCATGCTAAATGTGATGTAATCAAACTAAGACTTTAAGGAAAAGCATAGGTTCTGGAACAGACATGGTTTTGTTTTTCTCCTATAAACAGTGTTTTCCAGCATAAGGAGATAACCTCCACTCAGTCCTTGTTCCACCTTGCAAAACCCATAGTTTTACTATTTCCCAGTGGGTTTCTAGACCAAATAAGTACATTTACAATGGTGATAGTGACATCAATGACTAAAGTTTCGGTCAATCTCATAAAATTGAGAAAATTACCAAATGGGGAAATTGTTAAATCAAGTTTAGCCTAAAGCTGCCTTCTGACATATTAAAGTTTGGTCTAAAGGTTTTTCTGTACATCATGAACTATATCAAGTGGAGGTCTAAAGAGACCATAGCCTACACTTGTGCCAATCAATGATATTTGGCCAATTAAATGTAGCCAATTGTTCAAACCATGTTCAAATAAGGCAAATGCTGAGCTGTAACCTATCCAGCTGTTTCTGTACCTCACTTTCATTTTCTGTACTTCACTTTCCTTTTTCTCTCCATAGATCTTCTTCCACCGCATGGCTACATTGGAGTCTTTGAGCCTACTGTGACTTAGAAGTCTGTCTGATTTGCAAATCATTCATTGCTCAATTAAACTCCTTTAAATTTAATTCAGTTGAAGTTTTTTTTTATCACTAGTAAAAAATATATCTCTATTCTGCATATTCCTTGATTTTTTCTGGGAAAGATATTTCTCACTTGACTATTAGTTTACATTAAATGTAAAGTTAATGATAATTATACCACAGATATTAGAACTGTGTTACAATTTTACATAGTCATTTACTAGTAGACATACGTTATTTTGTATATATACATAAACATTTTTTCAGAAAAAAAGTTTCATTTTTAAATGAAGAATTTTTAGACATATTTGCTGACGAAAACACAAAATACAGATAGCTAGAAAATCATCATTATATTTCTTAAAATAAGAAGAAAAATATTCAGCTTTAATATGAGAATTTTGTCTACAATGCATTCAGTTCAGTTTAGATAGTGTCACCTACTGCCTGAGTAAAACACCACACATCTTTCTTGAACTTTGCAGGTTCTTTTCTTTCCAAACAGAACATTCTTAAATTTTATCAACTCCTTCGTTTAAATTCTTCATTTATTTATCATTAGAATATGAGATACTTTCATATAGAAATAACTACTTTTTCAAATGTAAATCCTTCTGCTGAGCCCAGTAGAATTCAATTAATGTTTATCAAATTGAATTAAAGCACAAATTCATGGTAAAAATATAATTAGTTAAAAGATTTGTTTACCTATTTTTTCCTGCACTTCTTACTCATTCATTATGTAATATTTGTATAATAGTATACCATACATTAAAGCATACTTAAAAAGTAAATCATTTCAATTAATAGAATGTATTATGTTTTCTCCCTGAGTTCAAATCCTAGTCCTGCCCCTTCTCTGGTTGTGTAGCCTTTGATAAATTGTTCAACCTCTTAATGCTGAAATTTTCTTATTTGCAAAATGGGGAGCACAAAAATGGGACCCACCTTAAAAAGTAATTATGGCAGTTATATGAATTAATGTATGTAAATATATATGTATAGTAAGTGTTTTATGTGTTTGTATTTAGTTGATGTTTGAAAAATGTTATTCACGTATAAACTGTGAATAACTAGAAGCAGAAGACAGTTGAGGTTCCTTAACAAAAAACAGATTACCATGAGAAAAAGAAACAGTAGTTTATTATCATGTATATCTCATATATACATAGATGCTATCTTGAAAAATGAATAATGTCAAAGAGGTGGCCTAGAACTCTGGTGTGTTAGCATCTTCAACTGTAATAAACAAAAAAGGGTATAGAGGAGGCAAGACATGGAACAGTAATCAGAAAATGCAGGGTAAAAAAGAGTAAGGTTTGCTATGCAGTTATAAGTCAATGTCTTCTCCATTGATAAGAGTCTCTTGTGATTTCATCATCCTTCTTTCCTTGGTACACAGGAACACTTACAAATGGAGATTTCCTTTAAAAGTATAAAGTTTTTCTCATAAAAGGGTAAACTGTGCTGTTTTTAGAATTTCTCCTATGTCTGCTATTTCTCAAAATAACCAGATTAAAAAAAATTTATGCCAAAAAGGCATATTTTGATCTCCTACAGTCATATTTTAGGATGGCAAATGTTGGAATCCTACACATCAAAAGTCCATAGTTATATTAGTCCATTTTCACACTGCTATGAAGAAATATCTGAGATCGGGTAATTTATAAAGAAAAAGAGGTATAATGGACTTACAGTTCCACATGGCTGGGGAGGCCTCACAATCATGGCGGAAGGCAAACGAGATGCAAAGTCACATGGTACATGGTGGCAGGCAAGATAGAGCATGTGCAGGCAAACTTTCCTTTATGAAACAATCAGATCTCATAAGACTTATTCACTATCAAGAGAACAGCACAGGAAAAACCCATCCCTATGATTCAATTACCTCCCACTCGGTTTCTCACACATGTGGGAAATATGAGAGCTACAATTCAAAAAGAGATTTGAGTGGGGACACAGCCAAACCATATCAATAGTTTACATTAGGATTCACTGTTGGTGTTATGCATTCTATAGGTTTTGACAAATGTATAATGACATGTATCTATTATTGCAATATCATACTGAATAATCTCACTCCTATAAAATCCTCTGTGCTTTGCCTGTCCTTCCCACACTACCCCGTAACCCCAGCAACCACTAACCCCACTAACCTTTTCACTGTCTTCGTAGTTTTGCCTTTTACAGAATACCATATACTTGGAATCATATACTGTATAGCTTTATTTCACTTAGCAATATGTATTTAGATTTCCTGCATGTGTTTATATACCTTGATAACTCCTTTCTTTCTTTCTTTCTTTCTTTCTTTCTTTCTTTCTTTCCTTCTTTCTTTTCTTTTCTTTCTTTTTTTTTTTTTTTTTTGACAGAGTCTCACTCTGTCACCCAGACTGGAGTGTGGTAGTGCAGTCTAGGCTCACTGCAATCTCCGCCTCCTGGATCAAGTGATTCTCCTGTCTCAGCCTCCAGAGTAGCTGGGACTATAGGTGCACACCACCATGCCCAGATAATTTTTGTATTTTTAGTAGAGGAAGTGGTTCACCATATTGGTCAGGCTGGTCTCGAACTCCCAACCTTAGGTGATCCACTTGCCTTGGCCTCCTAAAGTGATGGGATTGCAGACATGAGCTACCAGACCTGGCCAGTTCATTTCTTTTTAGTGCTGAGTGATATTCCATTGTCTGAAGGAAAAATAGTTTATTTATTCATTCATCTACTGAGTAACATTTTAGCTGCTTTTAAGTTTTGACAATTATGAATAAAGCTGCTATAAATATTCTTTTGCAGGCTTTTGTGTATACACAACTTTTCAGTTCATTTGAATAAATACCAAGGGGTGTGATTGCTAAATCATATGCTAAGATTATGTTTAGTTTTGTAAAACACTGCCAAAGTATCTCTCCCAATGGCTGTAATATTTTGCATACCCATCAGCAATAAATGAAAGCTACAATTGCTCCACATCTTCACTAGCATTTGATGTTAGTGTTTTTGAATTTGATCATTCTAATAGGTCTGTAGTGGTACTATGGCATTTTGGAATCAATGCTTCATTTAAAGAGTAATGATTCTTGTAGAAAATTTAGGCCTCTGGAAATAATTCTGAAAAAAATCAGACTTTGCACTATCACTCAAGTACTAAAACACTTTTAAAGTGTTGTAAGTGGTGTCATAATTAAGACACAAATTACCTTATGATTTGTTAAAGAAATTAAGTAACACTTAGAAGAACATTACCATATGTGTGTCAGGTGAGATACAATGAAAAAATGAAGCCAAACTGCATGAAATAAAGGATGTTTATTACTCACAGGTCAGGGAGATTATAAGTGTGTACAAGAGGCTGATGAGAAGTCCAGAGACAGCAGGGTGCTCAACCTGTAAGTGGTAAACAAGAAAGAGAGACAGAGAGAAAGAAAGAGAGAGAAAGAGAGAAAACTTATAGAAGTATGCCCTTATTAAGGACAATAGGCATTATTTTTTATCCTTTTCCAAAAGGGTTGTAGAATAGCTGGTTTACATAAACCTGCATGAAGGAGAAACATATTTACAGGACTCTGGTGACGGTCATTAGGTTTCACTGTAATTAGCATCTGCGGGTTGTGTGGGGTCAGTGAAATAAAAAACAAGCAGGTGCTGTTACAAACAATCATGTGGGAAGAGGAAGTTTTAACTAGACTAAAGCTGATGAGGCATGACTGGATTACAAACAACTTGTGTCTGTCCTAAAATGGATGCTGAGGCAACAACTATGTTAAACAAATTCATAACATCTTATCACACATTACTTTATCTACATCTGTATCTATATTTATGTATATTTATATATAAATTGTGTATATAAATTTACATATAAAATCCTCTGTGCTTTATATGTATATAATATGCCTTATATGTGTATACGTATAATGTGCTTTATATGTGTATAATAAATACAGAATTTATATATAAATATATACATAATTTATTTTCTACATCATTATAATGTTACAAGTACATTATAAATCATCTAGGAACATGTACTGCTGTTTAGAATTTTGAGTGAAACCAAAGGAACTAGCCCAGTGTCTTGTATACAGTAAGTGCTTAATACAGACTATTAATGATGACTGTGCGAATTTCTGTATGAAAGCATACTTACACGTATTTTATATGTAGTGAATATATATTTACAAATAATTGAAACAATAAAATGGAGTTTTAACATACATCTTTAAACTACTATTTGTAACAAACATAAATCTAAGTAATTATTCAGTAAAAGTTTAATAAAACATATTAATGTAATTAGCAAATAACATTTTCTGTTGTTCTGACATTAGAATGTATTTGTGTGCTTTGTACAATATGGCCAGAATAATTAGAAATAACTCTTCATTTTCTCATTTGTATGCTTATACTGCATTTACATCTGGAAGTCCAATTGCTTAGAATCTGCTACAGGACTTCTATGGATATATTTAATAAGGACAACTTGGCCATAATGAGCTTAAATTTTGAACTGTCAGAAGCAGATGGATTAGAATGTGTGGTTCATTGATTTATATATAAATACAGATTCCACCCCCTCAGAGACTCCCGTTTTACATTCTCAGAAAAACATAAGAAAGAAAAGATCAAAAGCCACAGACCTTTTGAAACATGTTAAGTTAGCCTATAAAATAAAACAAAGCAATTATATTTCCTAGGCTCATGTGGCTTTAAAAGTGCTGTAAATTTCCCTGAAGCATGTTTGAAGCAAGCATTCCTAAGAAGCTTAATAGAAACTCTTTTAACAAAATGTCTTTCCATCCCTCCCTATTTTCTATGATTTATTTTGTTTCTACTCATTTAACAAAATAGTTTTTCATTTGTCTGTGTATAAAAACCTTTTATTTCAGAATTTTCCATTGAAGATTCTATTATGTACTTCTTTTATGCTATTAATTATCAAGTAGGCACACAAATTTACTCAATTTAAAATTTAGAAATATTTAATTTTCTGTTTTCTTGTTGCCATTATTTGCTTATAGTTTTACAAAGTTTACAAACAATATTAACTATCACAAAATTTATATTTTTGACAGTTATTCATAGAAGAAAAAAAATAGACTGTATTTTAATAGCATATTTAATTACATGTCTTATAATGTTTTTACATGTGGACTTGATTATTTGATTATTTGCATTAATTGTGTGTTACTGAATTATGCCTGATTTTGAGTTATAACTTAATAAACCTTTTCTTAAAAAGGTATGCATTTATCCACATACATTTCAAAGCAAAAAGGGATTTTTTTCTTTTATACCTGTTATAGATCAGACAATAGAAAATCTCAACGAAATACCTGGACTTAATGAAACACATACAGTAGGATACAAATATTACAATCTTTAATATAGTCTTTTAATTTCTCAACTTTGTAAATTTGGTAACCATCTAACAATGTGAATCTAATGTACAGCCAATTTCCTTGTTGCAGCCAAAATTTTGTAAGGAAGGTTGGAAGTGAGAAAATAATGAATCAATTTCCTTAGCCTACAAAGATTTTACAATAGCATATTGGAAAATATTAGAAAAGAGTCAGTCTTGGTTTTGCTAAATTCAACAGGTAACTTTGAACAGTCAGTCACTTTTCTTCTGCTCTCATCTTCCTAATCTAGGAAACAAATTGACAATTATATGTCAACTCTGGACAAACAAAATTTGAAATCAGGTCTATTTGGGAAAATATCACCTGAATATTTTGATATACAAGTAGCTGGACTCATATATTTTAAGGATCTGTGTGGAAAAGCAGATAAGGCTTGGGAATTCTATCATATACTAAAGTGAATCTAGGGTAGAAACTAAAAATATAACATAAAATAATGAGAAACAGCAACATTTAGAACAAGTGCAGAAGAAGTAAATCAAAGTTATTTATCGTGATAGAAAGATAGTTTTCAAATGTAGCAGGTAGATGCATTATGTGAAAATCACCCTTTGGAAGGAGCCATATTGTATATTTAAAATTATATATATACTAATAATATATTTTATGTATATGATTATACATAAAATATAGTCTTGATTAGTTGCATTAATTGTGTTCCATTTAATTATGCATGACTTTGAATTATACCATAATAAAGCTGTTCTAAAAAAAGTATGAACTTATCCACATGCATTTCAAAGCAAATAGAAATTTTGATTTTCATTGTTACGATATATAACAATATTCATTAAATATAAATTACATTCAAATATAATAAATATAATATTCCTTATAATATAAAATAATGTAAGTTATGTAAAACAGTTTATATTACCTTATTATAATATATTATATAATTATTTTATATATTTCTATTCATACATGAATATGTATTTTAATATATTTATTATATATAATGATATAATGCATAGATGATATATAATAATAACAAATATAGATTATACCTATAATATAATTATTTTATATATTATGTTTGTAACATATTTATATTGTTAGAATATAATATGTTTATATAATAAAATATATTATTAAATATATATTTAATGTTTTCAATTATGCATTTAATAATATATTTTAAATTATATATATATATATATAATTTTTTAAAAACCACTATTTATTTATCAGGTTACTAAATATTGCCCCAATACTAGTGTTGCAGGACCTTTCCTTAGTTCAGCTAAGGACAAGGTTTTTTGTCCCATGGCCATGAAAATTAAGGCTGGCAGACAATTTAAATGGTGAGTGAGACAGGGTTTTCTTGGGTGAAAAGGAAGAAAAAGGGGAAACAGCGACTCTTGGTAGGCCAGAGTTCCTGCTAGAGAGCTTCCTGCCCACTGTTCGAATTTCAGAATCCACACAGTTTTGTGGATATCTATCAGATCTTCTTGATGTAGTGCTGAGTTCAGGTCCTGAATACCTTTCTTAATGTTCTGTTTCAATGATCTGTCTAATATTGACAGTGGGATGTTAACATCTTCCACTATTATTGTGTGGGAATCTAGACCTCTTTGAAGGTCTCTAAGAACTTGCTTTATGAATTTGATTGCTCCTGTGTTGAGTGTATATATATTTAGAATAGTTAGATTTTTTTTAGTTGAATTGAACCCTTTACCATTATGTAATGATCTTCTTTGTCATTTTTGATCTTTGTTATTTTAACGTCTGTTTTGTCAGAAACTACAGTTGCAACTTCTGCTTTTCCTATTTTCTATTTGCTTGGTGGATTTTCCTTCATCTCTTTATTTTGAGCCTGTATGTGTTATCGCATGTGAGATGAGTTTCTTGAAGACAGCGTACCAATGGGTCTTGGTTCTTTATCCAGCTTGTCACTCTGTTTCTTTTAATTGAAACATTTAGCCCATTTACATTTAGTGTTAGTATTGATATGTGTTTATTTGACTTGTTTATGTGATTGGTTTGTAGTGTCACTCATGTATTTACTTCAATGTGGTTTTGTAGTGGCTGGTAATGGTCTTTCTTTTCTATATTTAATATTTCCTTTAGGATCTCTTGTAAGGCAACACTAGTGGTAACAAATCCCCTCATCAGCTGCTTCTCTGAAAAAGATTTTATTTCTCTTTCACTTATGAAGCTTAGTTTGGATAAATATAAAACTCTGTGTTGGAATGTCTTCTATTTAAAAATGTTGAACATTGGCCCCTAATTTTTCTGGCTTGTAGGTTTTCAGCTGAGTGGTCCACTGTTAGTCTGAAAGGCTTCACTTTGTAGATGACCTGGCCTTTTTTTCTAGCTGTCTTTAACATTCTTTCTTTCATTTCCACTTTAGAGAATCTGATGATTATGTGTCAAACCAAACAGCCATAAATTTGGTCTCTTTACATAATCTCATGTTTCTTGGATTTTTTTATTTCTTTTTGTTTTTTATCTATTCTTGTCTGCCTGTATTACTTCAGAAAGGCAGTATTCAAGCTCTGAGATTCTTTCTTTTGCTTGGTCTATTTTGCTACTAATATTTGTGATTGCATTATAAAATCCTTAGATTGTGATTTTAGCTCTATCAGACCAGTTCTGTTCTTTTCTATACTGGATATTTTATCTGTCAGCTCTTGCAATGTTTTCTCATAAATTTTAGCTTCCTTGCATTGGGTTATAACATACTCTTTTAACTCAGTGAACTTCATTTTTATCTATATTCTGAATTCTACTTCTGTCATTTCAGCCACCACAGCCTCAGCCTGGTTTTGAAACCTTGCTGGAGTGGTGATGTGCTTTTTCAGAGGAAAGTGGTCATTCTTGCTTTTTGAGTTTTCAGCATTCTTACACTGATTCTTTTTCAATTTTGTGGGATTATCTGTCTTTAATCTTTGAGGTTGCTGATCTTTGTATATTTTTTTCAAAAATCTGACCACTTTTCCATAAGGCTGCTGTGATATGCTGAGGGTCCAATCCAGTCTGTAGTCACCTCATATCTTCTGGTACCTGTAGGTATCATCAGCGAAGGAGGTGAAACAGCAAAAATGGCAACCTTTTCCTTTCTCTGTAATCTCTGCCTCAGGGAGGTAAGCACCTGTTGCCATCTTGAATACACCTGTAGGAGGTTGTTGAAAATCCCAGATGGGATTTTTTTGCCCAGTCAAGAGGAATGGGATTGGACACCCACTTAACAAAGTAGTATGGCCAAAATTATGTTGAATACCTGTGGGGTACTGGGCATCCACTTCAGTCCCTGATTACCTCAGACACTCTAAAGCCTGAAGGCTGAAACAGCTAAGTCGCCCAAATAGCAAAGATGGTGGCCTGCCCCTCTTCCTGGGAGACTTATCCAAGGGAGGTCTGAAACCTCTGTCAGCTGGGGAACACCAGTGGGGGTAGTTGTATAACCTCATTAAGGTGATCCACCTGATGATGAGAAACAGTGTTGGGACCTGCTTAAAAAAGCCATCTGGCCATATTTTCATGGGGCCACTGTGCTGTGCTGGGTACTGTTTCACTCCCAGATGGTTTGGCCTCTCCAAATCCTGAAGGTTGGAACTGCTAAGTCACCCAGACACCAAAGATGGTGGCCCACCCATCCCTCTGGGAGTTCCATCTGAGGAGTTTTCAAATTTCTGTAGGCAAGGGAACACTGGCAGGGACAGCTGGAGGGCCCAATTAGGCAGTCCTGCCAAGTGAGGAGTAATGACATCAGAGACCCACTTAGAAAAGCTGTCTGAGCCTGATTTTATGGAGCAGCTGAGATGTGTATGGGTACCACTTTTGCCCCAGCCAGCTTGGGCACTCCAAAGCCTGGAGGCTGGAATGACTAAGTCACCCAAACAGCAAAGATGGTTTTTTGCTCTTCCCTCTGGGAGCTCTGTCTCAGGGACTTTTCAAATCTCTGTTGGCTGGAGAATACAGACGGGGGTGGCTGGAGGCCCCAGTTGGAAGGTCCTACCCAATGAGATGGAATGGATTTGGGACCTGCTTTAAAAAGTAGTCTGGCCACATTTTGGTACAGCAGCTGTTCTGTGCTATGGGATCCCTTCCACCCACAGTTAGCTTGGGTTCTCCAAAGCCTAACGGCTGGAATGGGTAAGTCTCCCAAACAGCAAAGAAGGTGACCTGCCCCTCCCACTGAAAACTCTGTCCCAGAGAGTTTTCAAACTTCTGTTGGCTGGAAAACACTGGTGAAGGTGATTTGAGGCCCCATTTGGGAGGTTCTACATAATGAGGAAAAATGAGATCGAGGAAAGATTAAGTAAACAGACTGGCCACACTTTCATAGAGCCACTGTGCTTGTGCTGAGGTACCACTTTCACCCCAGTCAGCTAGGGTTCTGCAAAGCTCAAAGGCTGAAATGACTAAGTCACCCAAATACTGGGATTCAAACTCTTTCCTCAGGGGTATGTATGGAGGTCTAACCTTCTGCTTTGCAGGAGTTGCAGATACTTTTGTTGGGAAGACAGGAGCTGGAGTATCTAAAGCTCCCAAGTATCTGTATGTGTCTGAGTGTTTTCTTTGCCAAGACCCCACGTAGTTCCGTGTGTCAGACTGACAGCCTTCATGGAGTGGATTCATGAGGGGATCTCCTATTTCAAGGGTCGCAAAGATCCATGAGAGAAGTGTGGTTTCCCAGGGTCACACATTCACTCACCACTTCCCTGGGTTGGGGAGATTTTCTTGGCTCTGCATCACTCCCAGGTGGGCCGTTGTCTTGCCTTGCTTTTCTCCATTCTCCATGGGTCAAGTTGTTTCCTTGATTAGTCCCATTGTAAGTACTTGAATGTTTCAGTTGAAGGTGCTGTATTTATTTGCCCTTTTAGTTCCTCTCCATGAGAGTCACATATCTTAGCTGTTTCTAGTCGGCTGTCTTGGCCACCTGTCTCAATAATTATACTTTAAACACATTTGGAATAAGTAGATCGGACTATAATGTAATAACAATGAACTTTATTTAGTTTACAACAAACCTAGTGAAGTAGGTAAAAGAGTTATTTTTCCTTATTTATAGACCAATGAATTACATTGAATAAATTGGAGATCTTTAGTTTCTCTTCAAAAATGCAATTAAGGAATACATGTTGAGAAATGCAAATACAATTCTAAGCTGCTCAACTGATTGAATAGACCTCTCCTTGTCCAAGGGGACCCCAGAGAAACTGTGGAAGCTGAGTTACCATTAGGCTGTTTTTTCTGAAGGCTGAACATAAGTCAGACCTTTAAAAAGACTCCACCACTAATTTCAATCAACCCAACTGCCTGACTGCTGCCCATCCCTGTTGCAGTTTTGATACAGCAACTGGCCAGCATTCTTTTCTTCTAAGAGACTAGCAAACATGGAATGATTCTGGCCAGTCTATGGAGAATGAGGAGTGAGAGTTTCCACGTCCTCTGCTTCACCTTTTGATGGCAGAGGCCCAAAAGCTCCAACCCCAGATTATACTAAGCCCACCATTTTTTAAACATGGGACCCATGAAGGGGTATGGTGGTTTTGATTTGCATTTCCATTATACATCTTTTCATATACCTGTTGGTCATTTGTATGTTATCTTCGAGGACATATCCATTCACTTCCTGAGTCCATTTTTTAATTGTGTTGTTTTTTTGCTATTGAGTTATACTAGTTATTTACTAATTTTAGATATTAATCCCCTAGCAGATAATGGCTTGCCAATATTTTCTTGCATTTGTCAGGTTGTCTCTTTACTCTATTGATTGTTTTCTTTGCTGTGCACAAACTTTTTAGTTTGATATAGAATTGAAATCATAATATCTATCAAAGAGACATCAGCACTTCCATGCTCATTGTAGCAGTATTCACAAAATCTAAGATACAGAAACAACCTAAATGTCCATCAACAGATGAATAGGTAAAGTAAGTGTCAAATATACATACAGTAAAATACTATTCAGCCAAGAAATTCTCTTATAGGTGACAATATGAATGGGTTTGGAAAACATTACACTAAATGAAATAAGTCAGTTACAGAAAAATATATACTGTATGGTGCCACTTATATGAGATATTTAAAAGAGTCAAACTCACAGAAACAAAAAGTAGAATAATAGTTAATGGGGTGTGAGGAGGGAAAAGTGGAGAATTGCTATTCAAAGTCTATAAAGTTTCAATTATGCAATATGAATAAAGTTCTAGAAATCTACCATACAAATGTATGCCTATAGCTAACAATACAGTAGATGCTTCATATTTATGGGTACTGCATCTGTGGATTCAACCAAGCAAAGATCAAAAATATTCAAAAACAATAAAATAATATGCATTAAAAATGTAGTATAACAACTGTTTGCATACCATTTACATTGTATAAGGTGTTACAAGTAATCTAGAAGGATTATTTAAAGTATACAAAAGGATATGTATAGGTTATATGCAAATATCATATCATTTTATATAAGAAACTTGAGCATCCACAATTCTGGCATTCACAGATGTGGAGTGGGTAAGGGACCTGAAATCAATACCCCATAGACTGAAAAATGACTCTACTACACTGTGTACTTAAAATTGTGTTAAAAGGGTAGATTTTATGTTAAGTGTTCTTACCACAATTTTAAACAAAAGAAATAACAAAATAAAGAGTAAATTTTTAGTATTTAAAATAATAAAAGCTGCTATGGAAAAAATAAAAGCAAGGTAAGCGTAATAGGAAATATTTAGTTACATAAAGATAATTGAGGAAAACTTCATTGACAAAGTAATATTTGAGTAAAGACTTGAAGGCAGGGAGGGAGCTCTTTAGGTAAATATCTTATATTTGGGGGAATAATATTTCAGGCAGAGGAAACTGCAAGTGTTAAGTGCCTGATGTGGAAGCATACACTGTGTTTTCATTGAACAACAACAAAATCAGTGTGAAGAGCAAATCAGTAAGAGTGGTAACAGTAGTCAGATCACAGAGAGGTTTGCACACCTTTTTAAATATTTGGTGTTTACTCAAAATGACATGGGAAGACATTTAAATGTCTTAAGCACAGAAGTAATATAATCTGTCCTATGTTTTAAAATGAAAATGCTGGAGGCTGTGTGGAGAATAAAGAGTAGTAGAGATAAGGAGAGGAGTAGGGGGACCAGATAACTGACTCCTACTTTCTTCCAGGCAAAAAAAATATGGTGCCTTGAATCAGAATAGTAGCAATAAAAGTGGAGATAAGTGTTGAAATTGGGATGCATTCAAAGGAGAACTTAAGGAACGTGTAGATGGATTGAATGTAGAGTTTCAGAGAAATGACAACCAGGATTACCCCCAACGTTTTTGGCCTGGGAAATTGAAAGAAGGACATTTTTATTCACTAAGATT
This sequence comes from Homo sapiens, assembly GCF_000001405.40. Classification (NCBI taxonomy): domain Eukaryota; kingdom Metazoa; phylum Chordata; class Mammalia; order Primates; family Hominidae; genus Homo; species Homo sapiens. Next base: position 90,811,468 of record NC_000023.11, read on the forward strand.
CAAAAGGCTTTAAAAGGAGCAAGCTTAGGTGGAAACCAGAGTTGACTTTTATTAACTTTAGTAAAAAGTCAAATAAAGTCAACTTAGTTGATGTTTACATGTGCTGATGTTGAAATGGCTAGGAGACAGCCAAGTAAAGACATTGAATATATAGTTTCATAAATAATTTTGAGTTCAGGAGAGAGGAACACACTGAGCATTTAAATATGGTATGGTATGGTATTCAATTCCATGGGACTAGATGAGGTCACCTTATAGATGAGGTGACCAAGAAGACTGGCTTTCACTTTTGATCATAAATTATAATTTAAAAGTACATTTTATATTGTGAGCCAGCACAAATGAAAAATACTTGTTTTTATTAAGTACAATGAAATCTAATATTTCCTGTTCTATTCCCCCACCCCTCATCAACCTAGTTTTGTCCCATAATATTTATTTTATGACTCATTAATAGATGTCTACCTAGAGTATGAAAAAAAATGCCACCTACGGAATTCTTGTCAGTACAAAAAAGGACTGTATGGAGATTGTGTCTTGCAGCATACTTATTTTTAAAGGTAAGGTTGATGCGGTACAACCAGGCAGAAAGAGCTTTAGTAAGAAAAAGGAGCCTCTAATGAAGTAAGAGAAGAATGGCATCTAGAAGCCAAAAATGAAATTTTCTTAAGAAAGAGAAAGCTATGAACTGTGTCCATTGTTATTAATAGGCTGAGTAAGGTGGGTAATGAGAATCGATCACTGGATATAGCAGCACAGAAACAATGGGTTTCCTTAATTAGAGCAGTTTCATTGTAATGCTGATTACAATAGCCTTATTTGCCTGGGCATAAGACAGAATAGTAGGAGAGAAAGTGGAGACAAAGAGTGAAGATTCTTTTAGGGAAATTTTATGTAAAGAAGATCAGTGAAATGAAGCGGAAACTAAAAAAAAAAGATGGGGAGTCAAGGGAAGTGATCTTTTTGGCATGTTGTGTGTTTTTAACATGGAAGACACACACCTAAAAAAGTCTTTGAATAGGCAAAAAGACGTGGCACTTTTGTACAGAATTGATGTATAGTAGTAGGTGGCAAATGAAATTACATGGACCCCAATAAAATAAGTGAGAAAGGATGAAAGCATGAAAGGTATTTTACATTGCTTCTACATTCACAGTAAGTAGAAAAGCATTTTCATGAGCTGAAAATAGAAGGAGAAAAGATGTTGAAGTTTGGAGCAGAGAGAAGAAACTGTGAAATAGTTATCTAGATTCTAGAACAATGGGCGAGGTAAATGGAGTAGGATTGCTAGACAGCATTAAGGTGCTCCCTTATGGTTAGTGGTTATGTCCATATTCATAATATAACTGTTCATCTACTTTTCTGTTTCCTTTCTCTTATTCTCTCATTCTCCACTTCTTCTTGTTATATATTCATATATTCTTGCTACTTCCAAGTGTAATCTTAAAGCATAATTCTATCATGCCATTATCTTATTCATTTTTTTTTAAATTTTCTGGCGTGGATTACAGAATAAACTATAAAAAGATTATTGTCACCTCTTAGTTTTCAAGGTTGATCTTTTACTTTTTTGACTATATTCACAATGCTAGTTCAAACAGGATTACTTACTGTTCATAAAAATGCCACTCATTGGCTGGGCATGGTGGCTCATGCCTGTAATCCCAGCACTTTGGGAGGCCGAGGCGGTCAGATCATGAGGTCAAGAGATTGAGACCATCCTGGCTAACATGGTAAAACCCCATCTCTACTAAAAATACAAAATTAGTCAGGCGTGGTGCGTGTGCCTGTAGTCCCAGCTACTCGGGAGGCTGAGGCAGGAGAATCGCTTGAACCCAGGAGGTGGATGTTGCAGTGAGCCGAGATCACGCCACTGCACTCCAGCCTGGTGACACAGCGAGACTCTGTCTCAGAAAAAATAAAAATAAAATAAAAGCCAGTCATTATTACCTCCTTTGCTTACAGTGTCTTCTTATTGCTGGACATTTGACTTCTTAATATTAACTATGTCCGTTATCACCTCATATATATTGTGCCTCGCCCAATTAAAAATTGTATTTACTTTTCTTTTTATCCTAGCAGCCTCTGGAGAATAAAAATCAGCATGGATATTGAAACAAATGAACATAACCTCACAACATCTTGCTTTATGTCTGCAACGCCCATCTGTTGCGATTATACATGGGATTTCCTTATTAATGCTGAATATATGATATACAAGTACTGCTTACAACCCAGAGATTCAGGGGAAAGAACGCTCCATAGGGTAAATTATTGATCAGTAGGAGACTGCAAGATAAATTATTCTGCTTTCATATTTAGACAGATTGCTTTACTATGTAATAGTTTATTCAGCCCCCTTCGAAGACAGTCCTGGGTGATTGATTGGTTTGTGTCACTCAGCTCAATAGCACACACTTCTATTAGTGCTTTCTTCTTTCCTGATTCCCTTTCTACCTTTTCACTCCTGCTTCCCTGGCACTTTACTACCAAAATAGTGACATCTATGTTTTTGCCTCACGTTCTGTTTCCTGAAAAACTCAGGATAATACAATACCATTATTTGATCTTTACAACAACCCCGTGAAGAAAGATATATCATTATCTCCATACAATGCATAATCAAACCGAAGCACAGAATATGTCACCGATTTTCCTAAATTATTTGAGGTATTCAGATATTAGAACTGAGTCTCCTGACTACAGCTGCACTGCTATTTTTACAATTTCTACTATACATCTTTAAGGCCCACTTTTAGTGCTCTGGATTCCTCAGTAAGTAGTGATCGCTTCTCTCTGTAGGTAAAAAATAATTAACTTTTATTTTGTTAAACATGTTTTGAAGTATCAATTTATTTGTTGGTGAGGCTACTACTTCCACTGTATTGTTAACTGAGAGAAATATCTTTATTGCCTATAAAGATCAGCACAGTAGACTCTAAATGATTGCCTCAAAATAGAGAATGTGTTAGTGTTGAGGAAGTGAAATGAATAAATGAATTAATAAATGGATTAAATGTCCCAATCTTTTCAACCCTTGACATATACACATTTAGAATTCGTATTTTCTTATATTATTTTCAGAACAAGTAAACTAAAAATGTTTTATCTCAATAATATGAATATTATTAATATTCTCATTATGTCTCAATAATATGAACTTTATTAATATTCTCAATATATCTCAATAATATAAGATTATAAATATTAATGTAACAACATTAATATTAGTAATTTAGAAATCCATTCAAACTGGGATTTTTATTTACTTAGAAGTCTGTAAATGCTTTTAAAAATATCTAAGGTCTTAGATTCATTTCTTGGAGATTTGTCCTAAGCAATTTATAAAAGGAAGTTTTATCTACAAACATCTTTACTGTCACAAGATTTATAACAATGAAAATTATAGAAATAGAACAAATATAAAACAATACGTGAAGTGAACTAAATATTAATAAAACCAGTCAATTTAATATCATGAAACCAACAAAAATTATATTTGTATAAGTTAAAAACTACAGAAATATAAGGCATATTAAATTTTTATACTTTGGAATCACAAGTATGTAGAACAAAAGTACAAACAGGAGAGACAGAGAAAGATGGCTGTATTGAGGATTTCATTGATCACCACCCCCTTGCAGAACCACCAAATTTAAAAACCATCTACACACAAAAAGCACATTAATAAAAACTAAAAATCAGGTGAGCACTCACAGTACCTGGTTTTAATATTATATCACTGAGATAGACACTAAAAATGGTAGAAAACATAGACTGGAATCACTGATGCCACCGTTCCCCCTTTGCTCAGCAGCAACCATGGTGTGAAGAGAAAAGCTATGCACATGGGAGAGAGAGAGTGCAGTGATTGTGAGAATTTCCACTGAACTCAGTGCTTACAGTGGAAAGCAAAACTAGAAGAAACTAAACTGATTGGGTTGGTTAAGTTGCCAACCGACAGAGAAAACATTTAAACCAATCCTAGGGAGAGGGAAATTGTGCATGCTGGTGGTCAGAATTTGAGTATGAATAAGTCATACTAAAATGGTCTAAAGTGCTCTGGGGTTCTAAGTAAACTTGAAAGGCAGCATAGACCAAAAGGAATGAAACTCCTAAGTAAGTCCTGGTGCTGATCTGTGTTCAGAGCCAGTGGACTAAACAAGCATGCAACTGACTCAGACATCAGCCAGGATGGCTAAGAGAATGTTTGCACCACTGCTCTACCAAACGCAGGCGGCATAGCTCCTGAGTCCAAAAGACACCTCTTTCTCTCTCTTGAAAGGAGAGAGAAGAATAAATAGGACTTTGTCTTTGTCTTGAATCTTGGCTACCAGCTTAGTCACAGTAGGATAGGGCATGGGTCAGAGTCATGAGGCCCCCGTTCCAGGTCCTAGCTCCTGGAGGACATATCTAGACACACCATGGACAAGAAGGAAACCAACTACATTGAAGGGAAAGACACAGTCCTGGCAAGACCCATAACCTGCTGACTATAGAGCCCTTGGGCCCTGAATAACCAGCAGCAATACCCAGGTAGTACACCAAAGGCCTTGGGTGAGACTTTGAGACTTGCTGGCTTTAGGTTACGCTAAGCAAATTCCCAGCTGTAGTGACTGTGGGGCAAGAATCCTTCTTGAGAAAAGCAGAGGGAAAAGTAAAGGGGACTTTGTTTTGCAACTTAGGTACCAGGTCAGCCACAGGGTTATACAGCACCAAGCAGGCTCTTAGGGTCCAGAATTCAAGGTCTTGGCTCTTGGATGGCACTTATGAATCTTCCTTCAGCCAGAGGGTAGCCCACTGCCTAAAAGTGTGAATCCCAGGCCTGGCAGCATTTACCACAAGCCGAATGAAGAGCACCGGAACCTTAAATGAACATTGGCAATGGCCTGGCAATACTCTCTGTGGGCCTGTGGTGGTGGATGGCCACAAGGGGAGGCTTGTCTGCCTGTGGAAAGAGTCTGCCTGAGGGAAGAGTGAGAAAAACTGTGTCTTTTTGTTTGAGTGCTAGTTCAGCCACAGTACAATAGAACTATGTCTATTGTTTAAGGTTTTTGTAAATGTCTAAGGTTTTTGACTCCCTGGCTCCTAGATGGTATCTCTGGACCTGCCCAAGCCTGGGGTACTCATCAACAAGAAGGGAAAAACACAGGCCAGGCTGGCTTTACCATCTGCTGATTGTAGAGACCTAGTGTGTTTACAAACATAGGCAGTAGACAGGGAGTGGTTATAGCAGATGTTGGGAAAGACCCAGTGATATTCTGGCTTCAGGTCAGACCCAGCACAGTCCCTTTGGTGGTGCCCACAGCGTTGCTTGTGTCATCCCATTCACAGCTCCAAGTGGCACAACACACACACACAGAGACTTTGTTAGTCATGTTGACCATTTTTTCTTGTACTTAATGGTCACTTGTATATCTTCTTTGGAGAAATGACTATTCAACTTTTTTGCCCATTTATTACTCAAGTTGTTTTGTATTTTCTTGTTACTGAGTTGTAGTTCTTTGTATATTCTGGATATTAACTCTTTATCAGATATATGATTTGAAAATATTTTTCCCATTATGTAGGTTGCATTTTTACTTTCTGGTAGTATTTTTAGTGCAAAAATATATTTAATTTTAATAAACTTCAATTTATCTATTGTTTCTTCTTTCGCCTGTGCTTTTGGTATCATATTTCAGAAATTATTGCCAAATCCAATGTTACAAAGATTTTCCCTTACGTCTTTCCCTGAGAGTCTTATGCCCTTAGCTCTTACATTTAGGCATTTGATCAATTTTGAGTTAATTTTTGTATATGGTATAAGGTAAGTATCAGACATGATCCTTTTTCATGTAGATATCCAGCTTTCCCATCACCATTTGTTTTCTCAATTCAATGACTTTGTCTAAAATCATTTGCCCATATAGGCAAAAGTTTATTTCTGGGCTTTCTATTTTATCCTATTGGTTTATTCTACAAACGGAATGTTTCTTTTCCCCTCAAATTTATATATTGAAATTCTAACTCCCAATGTAATGAAATTAGTTGGTGGGGCATTTAGAAAGTAATTATATCATGAAGCTCGAGCCCTCATGAATGGTATTGGGGCATTAGAAGAAAAGGTTATAACAAGAAAAGTGAGAAGACCAACTTGCTCTTCACCCCCCATTTCTCCTTTCTCTTTCTCTCTCTGCCACGTGAGGATACAAAAACTGCCTGTCTGCAAATTAAGAAGTGTGTCCTCCTAAGACACCAGTTTTGCTGGCACCTTGATATTGGGCTTCACAACCTTCAGACATATAACTAATAAATTTCAGTCATTTAAGCCACCCAGTCTATAGTATTTTGTTATAGCAGTCCAACAGACTAAGACAGAAATTGGTTCCAAGAAATGAGCTGCTGCTGTATTAAACACCTAAAAATGCCTTTGGAACTGGGTAATGTATAGAGGCTGGAAGAGTTTTGAAGTACATGCTAAAAACACCCAAGTCTCCAAAGAGACTTTTAAAGGTGATTATAATAAAGGATCAGAAAGAGGAGAGCTGTAGATAAAGCATTTATCTTCTTAGAGAATACATAAATAATAATATACAGGATGTTTGTGGAACTGTGGATGGTAAAAGCCATCCTAATGAGGTTCACATGAAAAGGAGGAATGCATCATTGGACAATGGAGGAAAAGCAATGCTTGTTATGAAGTAGCAAAGAACTTGGCTAAATTGTGTTTGAGTTCCAGTGTTTTTTGAAAGGTAAAACTGATGAGCAATGAAGTTCAATATTTACCGAGGAGATTTCTAAGTGAAGTGTTGAATGAGCAGTCTGTTTTTCCTGACTGATTATAGTAATATGTGAGAAGAGAGAAATAAGTTAGATAGAAAATTATTTTTTATATTTAAATTTGTTTTCTTTTTAATTTTAAGTTCCCAGGTACACATTCAGGATGTGCAGGTTTGTTACATACGTAAACATGTGCCATGGTGATTTGCTGCACTTATGAATCCATCATCTTGTTATTAAGCCTGGCATGAATTAGCTATTTTTTCTGATGCTCTTCCCCCTACCTTCCCTCAACTGGCCTCAGTTTGTGTTGTTCCCCTCCCTGTGTCCATATGTTCTCATTGTTCAGCTCCCACTTATAAGTGAGAACATGCAGTGTTTAGTTTTCTGTTCCTGCATTAGCTTACTGACGATAAGGGCTTCCAGTTCCATCCATTTCCCTGAAAAGGACATGATCTCATTCCTTCTTGTGGCTGCATAGTATTCCATTGTGTATATGTACCACATTTTCTTTATCCATTCTATCATTGATGGACATTTGGGTTGATTCCATGTCTTTGCTATTGTGAATATGCTGCAATGAACATACATGTGAATGTACCTTTATAACAGAATAATTTACATTCCTTTGGGTATATACCCAGTAATGGGGTTACTGGGTCAAATGGTATTTTTGATTCTAAATCTTTGAGGAATTGCCACACCATCTTCCACAGTGGTTGCACTAATTTACATTCCCACTAACAGTGTAAGAGCATTCCTATTTCCCTGCAACCTCGCCAGCATCTGTTGCTTCCTGACTGTTTAATAATCGTGATTCTGACTAGCATGAAATGACATTTCATTGTGGTTTTAATTTGCATTTTTCTAATGATCAGTGAAGTGGAGCTTTTTTTCATGTATTTGTTGGTCACATAAATGTCTTCCTTTGAGAAGTGTCCATTCATGTCTTTTGCCCACTTTTTAGTGGAGTTTTTTTTTTTTTTTTGTAAATTTGCTAAAGTTTCCTGTAGATTCTGGATATTATACCTTTGTCAGATAGATAGACTGAAAAAATTTTCTTCCATTCTGTAGGTTGTCTGTTCTCTCTGATGATAGTTTCTTTTGCTGCACAGAAGATCTTTAGTTTAATTAGATCCCATTTGTCAATTTGTGCTTTTGTTGCAATTGCTTTTGGTAATTTCTTCATAAAATCTTTGCCCGTGCCTATGTCCTGAATGATATTGACTATATTTCCTTCCAGGGTTTTATAATTTTGGGTATTACATTTAAGTCTTTAATCTACCTTGATTTAGTATTTCTATAAGTTGTGAGGAAGGGGTCCAGTTTCAATTTTCTGCATATGGCTAGCCAGTTTTCTTAGCACTATTTATCTATTTATTAAATAGGGAATCTCTTCCCCATTGCTGGTTTTTGTCAGCTTTTTTGAAGCTCATATGGTTGTAGATGTGTGGTTTTATTTCTGAGTTCTCTATTCTGTTCCATTGGTCTATATACTTGTTTTTGTACCAGTACCATGCTGTTTTGGTTACTGTAGCCTTGTAGTATAGTTTGAAGTCAGGTAGTGTGATACCTCCAGCTTTATTCTTTTTGCCTAGGATTGTTGTGGCTATATGGGCTCCTTTTTTTTTTTTTTTTTTGGTTCCATATGAATTTTAAGATAGTTTTTTCTAACATTTTGAAGAATTTCAATGGTAGTTTAATGGAAATAGCATTGAATATATAAATTGCTTTGGGCAGTATGGCCATTTTCACAATATCGATTCTTCCTATCTATGAACATGGAATGTTTTTTCACCTTTTTGTTTCCTTTCTGATTTCTTGAGCAGTGGTTTGTAGTTCTTCTTGAAGAGTTCCTTCACTTCCCTTGTTAGCTATATTCCTAGATATTTTATTTTCTTTGTGGCAATTGTAAATGAAAGTTTATTCTCAATTTGTCTGCTTGTCTGTTGTTAATGTATAGAAATGTTTGTGATTCCTGAACATTGATTTTGTATCCTGAGACTTTGCTGAATTTGCTTATCAGCTCTTGAAGAATGACAGTGGATTATTATAAGCTTAACCAAGTGGTAACTCAGATTGCAGCTGCTGTACCAGATGTGGTTTCATTGCTTGAGCAAATTAACACATCTCCTGATATCTGGTATGCAGCCATTGACTTGGCAAATGCCTATTTCTCTATTCTTGCCCATAAGGCCCACCAGAAACAATTTGCCTTCAGCTGACAAGGCCAGCAATGTACATTTACTGTCTTACCTCAGGGGTATATCGACTCTCCAGATTTGTGTCATAATCTTATTCAGAGAAATCTTGATCACTTTTTGCTTCCACAAGATTTCACACTGGCCCATTACATTGATGACATTATGCTGATTGGATCCAGTGAGCAAGAAGTAGCAAACACACTGGACTTATTGGTGAGGTATTTGCATTGCCAGAGAATGGGAAACAAATCCAACTAAAATTCAGGGGAACTTCTACCTCAGTAAAATTTCTGGGGGTTTAGTGGTGTGGGGCTTGCTGAGATATTTCTTCTAAGGTGAAGAATAAATTGCTGCATTTGGCCCCTCCTAGAACCAAGAAAGGGGCACTATCTAATCAGCTGCCAGTGCAGCTAGAATATAAGCAGGCAGGAAAATGTGAAAAGAGAGACTGGCTTAGCCTCCCAGCCTACATCTTTCTCCAGTGCTGGATGCTTCCTGCCCTCAAACATTGGACTCTAATTTTTTCAGTTTTGGAACTCGGACTGGCTCACCTTGCTCCTCAGCCTGCAGATGGTCTGTTGTGGGACCTTGTGATAATGTAAGATATATATATATATATATATTCCATTAGTTCTGTCCCTCTAGAGAACCCTAGATGATGTATTAGAGAACCCTAATACATCAGCTTAAGAAGCTTTTGGGCTGAGTTGATGGGGTTTTCTAGGTATAGAATCATTTCATCTACAAAAAAGACAATTTGAATTTTAAGTATAAAAGAACCAGTGACTGAACACAGTGGCTCATGTTTGTAATCTCAGCATTTTGGGAAGCCAAGGCAGTAGGATTGCTTGAGGCCAAGAGTTCAAAATTAGCATAAAAAATAAACAAATAAGCCAAAACCTGAAAAAGTATAACTTTTTCAACCTGTTTATATTGCAAAAAGTGAGAAAGCATGTTTTAAAATATGTTATAGAGCATTGAGGATGTGACAAAGCAAACATTTGATAAGGAGATTGAGATAGATGGATGTGAATCATGGAATTAATCAACCACCCCAGCAGGAAAACTGCCAGTTTGAAGCACAGACTCAATCAGTCAACTAAAAATACCCAGGAATAGATATCTGATTATACCAGCAGAATCACTGCCAGCTGGAAATAAAAAATTAAAAAAAGAGAAAATGTGATAAAATTAAAAAGGCTGAAACTGTGTGCTAACTTTCAAGAAAAAGAGGACCTTAAAGGTAATTCAATGATCTGTAAGGCAGACAGTGCCCAACGAAGCTAAGGGAGCAGGGACATTCCATGCCATAGGGATAGTGCCATCCAGTAGAGCCTGTGGAGGCAATTTCTGCATGGCAGAGTGTCAGCATAGGCAGAGCCCTGGCAGAAAGCCCCATCATGGCCATAGGTCAGGCACTGCAAACAGCCATGACATAGGCATTGCCCCGCTGAGCCGTGAGGGTGACATTGCTACCTAGTGGGTCCAGAAGGCAGAGCATTGGGACAAAAAAAAAATTTTTCTCCACCCTTAAGATTTTACAGAGTTTGCCTAGTTAGGTTTTGGATGTGCTTGGAACTATAATCTTTTTTCTTCTTTCCTGTTTTTCCTTTTTGGAATGAGAATGTCTATTCCATGCCTCTCCCACCATTGATTTAGAAGCATATAACTTCTTTAGTTTGACAGACTTACAGCTAGAGAGGAATTTTGTCTAAGGATGAAAGTCTTACTCACATCTGATTTAGATGATATGATATTTACATGAAGTTAAGAACTTTAGATTTTAGAATTGATTCTGGAATGAGTTAAGAGTTTTAGAAATGTTAGAATGAAAGGAATTAATTTGGCCTGTGATAAAAACAAGCATTTGGTGGGGGGCAGGGGAAGAATGCCGTGGACTAAATGTTGTTTTTCTCACAAAATTTATGTTAAAACCCTTAGCCCCAATGTGAATAGAAGAAGAGCCTTTGGGAGTTAACTAGGTTGTGAAAGTGAAGCTCTTATGGGTGGGAATAGTCCCTTTAAAAGAAGAGGCATGAGAGAGTTTTCTCTCCCTCTCTCTCAGCCATCATTTTGATCGGGATTGTGTTGAATTTGTACATCAGCTTTGGATACTCTACACATATTAACAATATTGTTTTTGAATTTATGAAAACAGGATTTCTTTCCATTTATTAATATATTAATTTCTTTCATCAATTTTTTTCATTTATACTATAAAAATGTTTTGCCTCCTTGACTAAGTTATTTCTAAGTATTTATTCCCTTTGATGTTATTGTAAAATTGTTTTTTAATTTTTATTTCAAATTTTTCAATGTTAGTATATAGAAAGGCAATTAATTTTTTGTTGATTTTGTATCCTGCAGCTTTTCTAAATTTATTATTTAAAAAAAATTGTGTGTGTGTGTGTGTGTGTGTGTAGTCTTTTCCAGTCACAATACAATGAATAGAAGTCAACAACTGATTGTAACTGGAAAATGTATGTTGTATGACTTAAATGTTTTTAAATTTATTGAGACTATTTTGGGGGGCCTAAATATATGGCCTCTCCTTGAAAACAATCAATGTGTATGTGAAAAAAAATGTACTTTGCTGTTGTTGAGTGGAGTGCTCTCTATATGTCTATTAGGTCTAAATGTTCAAGGTATTTTTTAAGTACCCTTTTACTTTATTGATTTTCTGCCTGGTTTTGCTGTCTATTTTTGGAAGTAGGGTACTAAAGTCTCCTCATATTATTGTAGAGTTGCCTATTTTTCTCTTCAATTTTGTTAAGAATTGCTTCTTATATTTTGGAGCTCTGATGTATATAGCACATGTATGTTTATAATTGTTATATCTTCCTTGTGAATTGGTTTTTATATCATTAAATAATGTTACCTTTTTCCCTCTTGTAGTAGTTTTTTTTTAATTTAAAGTTATTTTGGCTGAAATTGGTATAGCCACCCCTACTCTCTTCTTGTTCCTTTGTATTTTCCATCTTGTTTTTCAACACTTGTATTTCTTTACATCTAAACTGTCTCTAGTAGACAGCAAGTAGTTTGATCTTATTTTTATCCATTCTGTATTCAGATTGAAGACTATATTTTATATGCCTTTAGGATAATTATTGACAGGGGAGCACTATCAATACTTTCCATTTTGTAATTTGATTTGTGTGTGTGTGTTATAGATATTTGTCTTTATTCCTGTATTACTGACCTCCCTTGTGTATAGTTTATTTTATGTGAATACATTTTGAATCCCTTCTTATTTCCTTTTGTGTATATTTTGTAGCTATTTTCTCTTTGGTTACCCAAAAAACATGGTTCTTTGGTTACCATGTGAGTAATATAGAAAACATCATAAGGCTATAAAAATCCATCCTAAATTGATACCATCTTAACTTCAATTGCATATAAAACTTCATTGCAGCTTACCACCTTTCCCAGTTTACGTTACTAATGTCATAAATTATAATTGACACTTGAACAATATAAGAGATAAGAATGCCAAGTCCCTACAAGTTGAAAATCTGCATATAACTTTCTATTCCCCCAAACTTCACTACTAATTGCCTACTGTTGGACAGAAACCTTACTGATAACATAGTCGTTTAACACATGTTCTGTATTTTATATGTATTATGTTCTGTAAGTAAGCTAGAGAATGTATTTTATTAAGAATATCATAAGGAAGAGAAAATATACTTACTATTCATTAAGTAGGTTTAAATCATCACAAAGGTCTTCATCCTCATCATTTCATGTTCAGTCCTGAACATGTTGCTGTCTCAGCAGTGGCAGAGGCAGAAGAAAATACATGTATAAGTGGACTCACAATTTAAACACATGTTGTCCAAGGCTAAACTGTATATCTTTATATGTTATGTAACCATTACCATTATCATATAAAGATTTTAGATTTATAATCTTTATTCATTTATAATTTAAATCCTACAGATAATATGTGGTGATACAAGTAAAAATTAAAATAATAATAATATTTATATTTGTTATATGTTCATCTATTTACCTATTTTATTACTCTGTTTTGTACTGACATAACAGAGTACCTAATACTGGGTAATTTATAATGAACAAAGATTTATTTCTTATAGTTCTGGAGATTGGAAAGTTTAAGATTGAGGGGCTTGCATTTGTCAAGGACCTTCTTTCTGCATCACCCCATGGGAGAAAGCAGGCAGGAAACAGAGCACATCTTCTAGACAAAGCAATAGAGTGCAAAACTCATTTTTAAAAGATACACACGGCCGGGTGCGGTGGCTCACGCCTGTAATCCCAGCACTTTGGGAGGCTGAGGCGGGTGGATCACGAGGTCAGGAGATCAAGACCATTCTGGCTAACACGGTGAAACCCCGTCTCTACTAAAAAATACCAAAAAAAGGCCAGGCGCGGTGGCTCACGCCTATAATCCCAGCACTTTGGGAGGCCGAGGTGGGCGGATCACGAGGTCAGGAGATCGAGACCATCCTGGCTAACATGGTGAAACCCCGTCTCTACTAAAAATTACAAAAAATTAGCCAGGCGTGGTGGCGGGTACCTGTAGTCCCAGCTGCTTGGGAGGCTGAGGCAGGAGAATGGTGTGAACCCAGGAGGCAGAGCTTGCAGTGAGCCGAGATTGCGCCACCACACTCTAGCCTGGGCGACAGAGCGAGACTCCGTCTCAAAAAAAAAAAACAAAAAAACAAAAAACAAAACCAAAAAAATTAGCCAAACATGGTGGCGGGCACCTGTAGTCCCAGCTACTTGGGAGGCTGAGGCAGGAGAATGGTGTGAACCCGGGAAGCGGAGCTTGCAGTGAGCCGAGATTGCACCACTGCACTCCAGCCTGGGCGACAGAGCAAGACACCATCTCAAAAAAAAAAAAACAAACAAACAAAAAAAAACACACTTTTCCAATAAGTAACCCACTCCCATTATAGTGATATTAATCTATTCATGAGGACAGAGTCCTCATAACCTAGTCTCCTCTTAAAGGTTCCAATTCTCAAAATTCTTGCATTAAAGGTTACGTTTCTAACACATGAATTTTTGGGGACACAGTCAAACCATATCACCTTCTCTGGAGATGTTTATATTTTTTCTTATGGCTTTGAGTGATTGTCTAGGATTCTACTTGAAGGACTCCATTTAATATTTCTTGCAGGGAAGGTCCAGGGGTGGTAAGCTACTTCAGCTTTTGTTTGTATGAAAATGTCCTGACTACTCATCTATTTTAGAAATATAGTTTTGCCAGGTATAGAATTCCTGATTGGCAGTTCTTTTCTTCAATCTCTTTAAATGTATCATGCCATTATTTCTGTTCTCCAAGATGTCTGATAAGAAATTCACTAGGATAGTCATATTAAGAGCTCTTGCATATGATGGGTCCATTTTACCTTGCTGTTTTCAATGTCCTTTTCCTGTCTTTGCATTTCAGCAGTTAGATTTTAATGTGTCTTAGGGTCTACGATTTTGTCCTACTTGGAATTCATTGAGCTTCTTGTAATTGTATATTTATATCTTTTTCAAATTTGGGAAGTTTCCATACTTATTTCTTCAAATAATTTTTCTGTTTTTTTTTTTTCTTTCTCTTCACCTCCTGCAAGTTCCTGATGTAGTCTGCATGCTCATCACCTCTGAATCCCATGTTGAAATGTGATCCCTAATGTAGGAGATAGGGCATAGTGGGGAAGGTTTGGGTCATGGAGGTAAGTTTCTCATGAATGGTTTGGTGCCCTACTCACAGTAATGAGTGAATTCTCACTCTATTATGTCATGTGAAAGCTGGTTGCTGAAATAGCCTGGTACTTCCTCCCTTCCTCTCTCACCATGTGACATGCTAGCTCTCCTTACACCTCCTGCCATGATAGTAAGCTTCCTGAAGCCCTCACCAGAAGCAAATGCCAGCACTATGCTTCTTGTGTAGTCTGCAGAATAGTCAGCCAAAATAAACCTTTTTTCTTTATAAATAACCCAGCATTAGATATTAATTTACAGCAATGTAAAATAGACTGACATACTACCACAAGATATATTTTGATCTGCTTGGTGATGTTTTACCTCTCTCTTCCCTCCTATTCACTTTTCTTTACTTTTTTCTTACTTCTCATACTCAATAATTTCTAAAGACTATCGTTCAAGTTTTATGATTGTTTCTTTTCCCTGTCTGAGTTTGCTGCTTAAACCCCCTAGTGAATTTTATAATTGAGTTCGTGCCTTTTGCAGCTCCAGAGATAGTTAGGTTTTTTAAATAATTTCTATCACATTGTGAATATTTTTCATACATAGTTTCTAATTTCTTTTTATGTTTAGCTTATGTTTCATTTTAACTATTTGAGTATATTAAGAAAGTGGTTTTAAAGTTTGGTTTTTTAATTCCAATTCATGTCTTCTTTTAGGGAAGCTGCCTTTTTTAGTTTATGTTGCTCCTTTAAATGGGTCATGTTTCCATCTTCTACCTGTAATGTCTTGCCTTCAGGCGTATGTGGATTTGCAATTCCCCTGCAGGTTTTACGTGCCATGGAACTGGCCCTGCCTTTTGAAGCTTCTGTCGACTGAAGATAGAATTTATACTTATGTTCTTCATATGATCTTTGATGGAGATCATATTCCCATAATATATCAGAGTAATGCAGAGAATAATCTTTTAGGTAGCCCATAGATGAGTCAGAATGTTGCAAACATGTTCTACTCTACTACTTCTGCCTAACCAAAGGAACACATGATTGCCTCATTTTCTCCTGATTACACTACTATGCCAGGGACGAGATGAAGCAAGAGTGAATAAAAATACCACAGAATTTTCTAACATATTGAATGTGTCTCTTTCTTGGCTGTGCATCCAATTGGTGGCTATCATTCTTTAACTGGTTTCAGAATTTCTATACTATTTATTTAGTCAGTCTATAGCTGTTTTCTTAATGTTTTCATGGGGGAATGATGAACTGTGACTTCCTAGACTGTACCTTTTAGACATCACTCTCAAAGGCATATTTTAAGATCTAAAAAGTGCTTAGCATGACTCTCATCTTTTCAAATACATTGAATATATTAACTTAAGGCAAAAAATTAACATATTTAGAAAAGGTTAAAAAAGGAGAAAATATGAGAGCATGCTCAAGTAACTTACTACTATGCAGACATCTGGAATTTTAAAATAGTGATCCTCCCGCCTTGGTATCCCAAAGTCCTGGGATTACAGGAGTGAGCCACCACACCAGGCCTAAATTTTTAATGTGGTTGTTTGGTTTTATGCTTGTTAATTTGCTTTACTTTCTTATAGATGCTAAATGTTAGGCCTTTGTCAGTTGCATAGTTTACAAAAATTTTCTCTCATTCTGTAGGTTGTCTGTTTACTCTGTTGATTATTTTGCTATGCAGAAGCTCTTTAATTAGGTCCCATTTGTCATTTTTTGTTGTTGTTGCAATTGCTTTTCATGTCCTTGTTATGAAATCTTTGCTGGGTCCTATGTCCAAAATGATATTTCCTAAGTTATCTTCCAGGGTTTTTAAATTTTTAGGTTTTACATTTAAATATGTAATCCATTTTCAGTTGATTTTTCTATATGGTGTAAGGAAGGAGGTCCTGTTTCAGTTTTCCACACATTGCTAGCTAGTTTATCCCAGCACGATTTATTGAATAGAAGTCCTTTTTCCATTGCTTAATTTTGAAACTTTCTCAAAGATCAGATGGTTGTAGTTGTATAGCATTATTTGTGGGTTGTCTATTCTTTTATTGATCTATGTATCTGTTTTTATATCAGAAGTATGCTGTTTTGATTACTGTAGCCTTGCAATATTGTTTGAAGTCAGGTAATGTGACACATCCAGCTTTGTTCTTTTTGCTTAGGATTGCTGTGTCTATTTGGGCTTTTTTGTGGTTCCACAGGAATTTTTTTAAGTTTTTTTTTTTTTAAATTCTGTGAAGAATGCAATTTGTAGTTTGAAAAAAATACTATTGAATCTGTAAATTGCTTTGTGCAGTAAAGCCATTTTAACAATATTGATTCTGTCTTTTATGAACATGAAATGTCTTTCCATTCATTTGTGACATCTCTGATTTTTTGAGCAGTATTATGTAATTTTCATTGTGGGGATCTGTTACTTCTCTGATTAGCTGTATTCCTAGGTATTTTATTTTTCTCATTGTGAATGGGATTGCATTCTTCATTTGGCTCTCAGCTTGGATGTTGGTGTTATATAGAAATGCAACTGATTTTCATACATTGCCCTTGTATCATTTAACTTTGCTTACATTGTTTATCACATCAAGAAACTTTTGGGCAGAGGCTATGGGGTTTTCTAGGTATAGAATAATATAATCTAAAAAAAAGGATAGTTGGACTTCCTTTCTTTCTATTTTGATGCCTATTATTTCTTTCTCTTATCTAATTGCTCTGGCTAGGACTTCCAGTAAAATGTTTGAGTGGTGAGAGAGAGCATTAATGTCTTGGCCTGCTTCTCAAGGGAATGTTTCCAGCTTTTGTCCCTTCAATGTGATGTTGGCCATGGATTTATCATAGATAAATTTTATTATTTTGAAGTATGTTCTTTTAATTATTTTGAAGTAAAGTTTCTAGTTTTTTGAAGATTTTTAACAAGCAAGGAGTTGAATTTTATCTAAAACCTTTTCTGAATCTATTGAGATGATCATGTAGTCTTTGTTTTTCGTTCTGCTTATGGGATGAATTAAATTTATTTATTTACATATGTTAAACCAACCTTGCATCTCAGGGGTAAAAACCAACTTGATTATGGTGGATAAACTTTTTGATGTGCTGTTTAGTTTGGTTTGCTAGTAATTTGATAAATATTTTTGCATCTATTTTTCTTCAAAGATATTGGCCTGAATTTGTGTGTTTGTGTGTGTGTGTGTGTGTATGTGTGTCCCAGGTTTTGTCATCAGGATGGCCCTGGCCTCATAGAACGAGTTAGAGAGGAATTTCTCCTCCTCAAGTTATATGGAATATTTTCAATAGAAATGGTACCCCCTCTTCTTTGTACATCTAGAAGAATTTGTCTATGAATTTGTCTGCTCCTGGGCTTTTTCTCTTTGGTAGGCTTTTTATTACTGATTCAGTTTTGGAACTCATTATTGATCTGCTCAAGAATTCAATTTACTTGTGGTTTAATCTAGGAAGGTTGTGTGTTTCCAGGAATTTATCCATTTTTTTCTAGGTTTTTTTAGCTTGTGTTCATAGAGATGAAAGGAAGAAATTAGAGAATGTGCCAACTTCTAAATCCATGTATTATTCATGCTCATAATGTAGAAGACATGCAGTTAAACAATCTCTAGACAAGTAATTTTCAGATAGCATATGTTTTCCTGAAAATTCTCAGGCAAAAATGTAAAGACTACCAAGGAAGATGAGCTCTTTCAAATAGCCTTTCTAAAATTGTGAATAAAGTTCTAAAATTTAAACTCACAATAGAGTTTCCCCAACAGTTTGATTTTCTTCTTCTATGTGTATCTGTAAATAGAATTCTAGATAGATGCTTTAATGTGACCAAATCCATTTGACAACTTTTCAAAATGTTATAAAGTGTGTGTGTGTGCATGCGCACATATTCATGTGTGCATGTATGTATGAGAAGGGAATAAAGAAGAGTAGAGAAAGAGAGAGGGATGACAATCCAGTACCATATCTGATTGTAATTGCCTATAATATACATTATCTTTATTTTGTAAGGCATTGCGATTTTTAACTATTATAACACTATGAATAGGCCCTTAGCCAAATTTTGTGTGCAGAGTATGGTAGTAGAAATTTATAGATATAAAGATGCTCCAATTTTATAGAGTGAAACGTTAAAGATTATTTACTTAGTAGCAGAACTATTGGTAGAATACAGATTTGCTCCCTTTTAATCTTGACCTTTTCACCTACCAATGGATCATTTGTTGTTTTCTTTGTATCATGAAACATGTCTTTTAAAAATAGATATTGGTACAACCAGGAAGAACTGAGTTTAAGGCGTATTATATTGCTTGCACCCACAATGTTGAATTTCAAAAGATAATAATACCTGGTGGCATATAGTAGTATCTCAGTGGTTTTGTTTCTGTGATATTAAGCTTAGTTAGTTGAAGACCACTAAAATAATATAATCTCCATAATTTTAAATGATTGAACTCTTACAGAATAAATTAAAAGTGCTATTAGTATTATTCAAGAGATTTTAGTGCATGAGCAAGTGAAATCAATGAGTAGATGTACTAAGACAACAACGCCTGACTCTAAAAGACCAGCACTTCAACTTTTATTTTATTTTCTATACTGTTGTATAAGAGTGCCTTAGTATTTCTGACAAATGGAAATTATTGGTTAGAATTACAATTCTAACTATATGATGAATGATCAAATCATATGAAAGTTATTAGGTCAAAATATTATAACAGATAGGAGCAATTCCATGTCTAGTTCTAATCAAGTCTTTGGCAGATCTATCATTTTAGTTACCCTCAATAGAAAAAAATATAGAAATTGTTTTTTATGTAGCAGTTTTTGACAATTGGAAATTGGGGAACCAAGTTGATTTCACTATTCATAGTATATATGTCACATTTTTACTCCTGGCTGTTGGCAATGCTTGTCAGTCATAGCCCTATGATTTTACTGTATGCACATTTTAATACTTTTAAAATGTAGATGGTGATACTGGTTGTTGTGGTGATACTGCTGGTGATAGAATATTGTTGCTATTTTTCCTCATATGTGGAATATGTAATATAAAATGTTTAAGGGACTATTTTTTTCTTTAGATATTTTAAATAACACACTATACTTTTTGTTCTGAAAATAGCTATCCTTTAATTTTGTTCTTAATTTATTAAAAATATTTTACAGTTTTACCTGGATACTAAATTTGGATAAGCTAATTTATAGAAAGAGTATGTGTGATATCTAAATGCCAAGAACTACTTAAAATATATGATATGTTTGGTTGAGTGCCAAAATTGCAATGTGCCAATTTTCTATGAAATAATATGCATTCATGTGTGGGGTCGGGGGGATGATGCATTTAAGATGCCTCTTTTCTTCTAAGTACGTTTATGTGAAAATTGTTGTTGGAGACAGCAATCTTAGTTTCCTGTCATCTTGAATGAGTAATAGTCTATTATTCAGATGTAAAGTGTAGAAAAGAGGTCATTCCACAACCCAAATATAGTTCAATGAGCTGCAGTATGATTGGTTGACACATCAAACATAAAAGCTTTTTATGCATTGATTTCTCTACATTCCTTGCAATAATTTATCTAATTTGTTTGATTGATTGACTCTTTGTATTGCAGTATGCATTTATTCAATAAAGTACCTACATCATAAAATCAATATATAGTTGCATTCCTGCACTAAGTACCATTTTAGAAAGTGTGATTGAATTTCCACAGAAATTAATCAATGTGATAGATATATTTATCATTTGGATTAGACAGAAAATAAGAAAAAAGTCGTGTGTGTCTTTTTTATTATAAAAATATATTTTTTATTTTCAAGATCTTGTTAGCCCTTAAATTTTATAAATTTTATATAAGGTAATTTTCAAAAGCACAGTATCTAGGTAATAAAAATTAATTATTAGTATTTTGAACCAAATAGGTCAAAAATTATACACAGTTTTTCAACTGAATAGGGAGTTGGTGCCCTTAACCTTTATGTTCTTCAAAGGCACATATACATACATATATGTACACACACACACACACACACACACACACACACACACATAGATGGAGAGTGGGAGAGAGAAAGAGATAAATTTTCAGAAATTGACTCAGGCAATTATGGGGTCTGGCAAGTCTGAAATCTGAAAGGCCTGTCAGCAAGCTAGAAAAGGAGACAAGATTTTCAAATTAGTGTTGAGGCAGAATTTCTTCTTCTCCAGTACACCTCAGTTTTACCTCTTAATACCTCCAACTAATTGTGTGTTATTGAGAGTGGTATACTCCGCTTAAATTTAACTGATTACAAAAGTTAATCACATCTACAAAATATGGGTTGTGCAATTTGGCACCAAAGCCTGGCTAATAGGACATAAAAATTAATCATCAGCACATCATTTAAATAAAATAGATCATTGTTTTCCTTTTCCCTTTTTAAAAAGTCAGTTATTAGTTATGAGTACACTGTGTAAGAATAACATTAATTATATGGTTATAATAAATATATAAGAAAATAACTCATTGGAACAACTGACTGGTATTTGGCTAAGTTGTTACATTCTGGATTGCTTAATAACCAGCCTATAAATAGAAGCTATTAATTTTACATCACATAAAAGTAGATTTACCAAACTCTTTTTGGGGTCAAATGGATATATCAACACATTTTTTAATAATCTCTTTTAATCACTGATAATAACACTGGGACATAAGGTTTTTCATTTTTTTTTAACAAATTCCCTACCAAAACTATTTATAGCCTTATTTCTATCATAATATAATTGAAATTTTACCCAGCAGTTTATATAGTTTTACATTTGATAGCTTTTTATATTTGAAACACATTAGAAATTAATGATAAATCTGCCACAAAATGTTATAGTTGTAATTTGTAAGTAAAGTAACATTTTAATTATCAAAATTAGCTGGATGATAATTGATTTAGCATTTTTATATTAAAAAGCCTCCTAAATGGTTGACTTTACACTTGATTATTAACAGAAATTTACATGTAAATTTTCAAATGTAGTTTTTAAAAAATATATGATAAAATACACTTTTTGGGAAATGAATTTCCAGATAACATTACTTCTTGGAATCCAAAAAAATTGTAACTTCTCCTTTCTCCCTTATGACCAGAGATTAATAATCCTTGTTGTTACGCCTATTTTTATCAGTTATGTTGGATAAAAATTTACATCTATAAACAATATCACACTGCCTACAGAGATTATGATCTTGATATTTTGGCTTATCCTTCATTGGTTCACACGTAATCTTTGAATTGGGTGATATCATATATTTTTATTATATATTACTGTAATAATCCTCCCTATTTTCCTTTCAATCTTTCAAAGCTTTTGTTGCTTTTTCCAAATGCTATTCATTTAGGCCAGTGTTTCTGAAAATTGTGTATGCATCTGAATCAGTTGGAAGTCTTGTTAAAACACAGATTGCTGCACTCCATTCACTCCATTCTAAAGCTTCTGATTTACTAAATGCAGGGTGAAGTCCCAAAGTTTACTTTTCTAACGAGTTTCCATATGATATTGATATTACTGATCTGGGAACCACAAGTTGAAAAACTATAATTTAGCCTTCCTGTTTCTTGAACTCCATGTTTTATGTCTGGTAAATGGGGAAAAGCTGAGAACACTAAGAAGGAATTAGAAAACATGAAAAGATTTTCTAGATCAGTGATTTTCAATCTTAGCTACACGTTAGAAATACTTATATAGCTTTAAGAAATAAGGATGCCTGGATACTTCTTTCAGAGATTTTGAGTTTTTTTAATTAATTTTTTATTATACTTTAAGTTCTGGGAAACATGTACAGAACATGCAGGTTTGTTACATAGGTAATACAGGTGCCATGGTGGCTTGCTGCACCCATCAACCCATCATCTAGGTTTTAAGACCTGTATGCACTAGTTATTTGTCCTAATGTTCTCCCTCCCCTTGACCCCCACCCCCGACAGGCCCCGGAGTGTGATGTCCCCTTCCTGTGTCCACGTGTTCTCTTTTTTCAACTCCCATTTATGAGTAAGAACATGCAGCATTTGGTTTTCTGTTTCTGTGTTAGCTTGCTGAGAATGATGGTTTCCAGCTTCATCCATGTCCCTGCAAAAGACATGAACTCATTCTTTTTCATAGCTGCATAGTATTCCATGGTATATATGCACCACATTTTCTTTATCCAGTCTCTCATTGATGGACATTTGGGTTGGTTCCAAGTCTTCACTATTGTAAATTGTGCTGCAATAAACATACATGTGCATGTTTCTTTATAGTAGAATGATTTATAATCCTTTGGGTAGATATGCAGTAATGGGATTGCTGGGTCAAATGGTATTTCTGGATCTAGATCCTTGAGGATTTGCCACACTGCCTTCCACAATGGTTGAACTAATTTACACTCCCACCAACAGTGCAAAAGCATTCCATTTCTCTACATCATCTCCAGCAACTGTTGCTATCTGACTTTTCATGATTGTCATTCTAACTGGCATGAGATGGTATCTCATTGTGGTTTTGATTTTTGTTTCTCTAATGACCAGTGATGACAAACTTTTTTTCATATGCTTGTTGGCCACATAAATGTCCTCTTTTGAGAAGTATCTGTTCATATCCTTTGCCCAGTTTTTGATGGGATTGTTTTTTTCTTGTAAATTTGTTTATGCTTCTTATAGGTTCTGGATATTAGCCCTTCTTCAGATGGATAGATTGCAAAAATGTTCTCCCATTCTGTAGGTTGCCTGTTCAATCAAAATATCCCAAAATAATAAGAGCTATTTATGACAAACCCATAGCCAATATCATACTGAATGGGCAAAAGCTGGAAGCATTCTGTTTGAAAATTGGCACAAGACAAGGATGCTCTCTCTCACCACTCCTATTCAACATCATATTGGAAGTTCTGGTCAGGGCTATCAGGCAAGAGAAAGAAATAGAGTATTCAAATAGGACAAGAGGAAGTAAAATCATCTCTGTTTGTAGAAGACATGATTGTGTATTTAGAAAACCCCATTGTCTCAGCCCCAAAACTCCTTAAGCTGTTAAGAAACTTCAGTAAAGCCTCAGGATACAAAACCAATGTGCAAAAATCACAAGCATTCGTAAAATCCAATAATAGAAAAACAGAGAGCCAAATCATGAGTGAATTCCCATTCACAATTGCTACAAAGGAATAAAATACCTAGGAGTACAACTTATAAGGGACATGAAGGACTGCTTCGAGGAGAACTACAAACCACTGCTCAAGGAAATAAGAGAGGACATAAACAAATAAAAAAAAAATTCCATGCTCATGCATAGGAAGAATCAATATCAAGAAAATGGCCATACTGCCCAAAGTAATTCACAGATTCAATGCTACTCCCATCAAGCTACCATTGACTTTCTTCACAGAAATTGAAAAAACTACTTTAAATTTTATATGGAACCAAAAGACCCCTATACCCAAGACAAACTTAAGCAAAAAGAACAAAGCTGGAGGCATCACACCACCTGACTTCAAAGTATACTACAAGGCTACAGTAACCAAAACATCATGGTAATGGTACCAAACAGATATGTGGACGAATGGAACAGAACAGAGACCTCAAAAATAACACCACACATCTACAACCATATGATCTTCTACAAAGCTGACAAAAACAAGCAATGGGGAAAAATTTTCTTTTTTAATAAATGGTGCTGGGAAAACTGGCTAGCCATATGCAGAAAACTCAAACTGGACTCCTTCCTAACACCTTATAAAGAAATTAAGTCAAGATGAATTAAATACTTAAATGTAAAACCTGAAACCATAAACACCCTTGAAAAAATTCTAGGCAATACCATTCAGGACCTAGGCATGGGCAAAGACTTCATGACTAAAACACCAAAAGCAAATGCACCCAAAGCCGACGTTGATGAATGGGATCAAATTAAAATAAAGAGCTTCTGCATAGCAAAAGAAACTATCATCAGAGTGAACATGCATTTGAATTTTTAAATTTCTTTGGGTACTTCTGATATAAAGCCAAAATTGAAATCCTATCTTCTATGTCAGTAGAGATTACAACTAACTCTTCTTACTATTAGATAGAAATGACAATGGGGTAAATCACATTTTTTTTGAGAGAAGACTTTTCTAGAAATATTCACATTTGGGGAGTGGAGCCAAGATGGCCGAATAGGAAGAGCTCCAGTCTACAGCTCCTAGCCTGAGCAACGCAGAAGATGAGTGATTTCTGCATTTCCAACTGAGGTACCGGGTTCATCTCACTGGGGAGTGCCGGACAATGGGTGCAGGACAGTGGGTGCAGCACACCCTGCATGAGCCAAAGCAGGGCGAGGCATTACCTCACCTGGGAAGCGCGAGGGGTCAGGGAATTCCCTTTACTAGTCAAAGAAAGGGGTGACAGATGGCACCTGGAAAATCGGGTCACTCCCACCCTAATACTGCACTTTTCCAATGGGCTTAACAAACGGCACACCAGGAGATTATATCCTGCACCTGCCTTGGAGGGTCCTATGCGCATAGAGCCTCACTCATTGCTAGCACAGCAGTCTGAGATCAAACTGCAAGGTGGCAGCGAGGCTGGGGGAGGGGCGCCTGCCATTGCCCAGGCTTGAGTAGGTAAACAAAGCAGCCTGGAAGCTCGAACTGGGTGGAGCCCACCACAGCTCAAGGAGGACTGCCTGCCTCTGTAGGCTCCACCTCTGGGGGCAGGGCACAGACAAACAAAAGACAGCAATCACCTCTGCAGACTTAAATGTCTCTGTCTGACAGCTTTGAAGAGAGTAGTGGTTCTCCCAGCTTGAGATCTGAGAACAGGCAGACTGCCTCCTCAAGTGGGACCCTGACCCCCGAGTAGCCTAACTGGGAGGAACCCCCCAGTAGTGGCAGGCTGACACCTCACACAGCTGGGTACTCCTCTGAGACAAAACTTCCAGAGGAACAATCAGGCAGCAGCATTTGTGGTTCACCAGTATCTGCTGTTCTGCAGCCACCGCTGCTGATACCCAGGCAAACAGGGTCTGGAGTGGACCTCCAGTAAACTCCAACAGACCTGCAGCTGAGGGTCCTGACTGTTAGAAGGAAAACTAAAAAACAGAAAGGACATCCACACCAAAACCCATCTGTACGTCACCATCATCAAAGACCAAAGACAGAGAAAACCACAAAGATGGGGAAAAAACAGAGCAGAAAAACTAGAAACTCTAAAAATCAGAGCACCTCTCCTCCTCCAAAGGAACACAGCTCCTCACCAGAAATGGAACAAAGCTGGATGGAGAATGACTTTGACGAGTTGAGAGAAGAAGGCTTCAGAAGATCAAACTACTCCGAACTAAAGAAGGAAGTTCGAACCAATGGCAAAGAAGTAAAAAACTTTGAAAAAAAAATTAGATGAATGGATAACTAAAATAACCAATGCAGAGAAGTCCTTAAAGGACCTGATGAGGCTGAAAACCATGACACAAGAACTACGTGATGAATGCACAAGCCTCAGTAACCGATGCAATCAACTGGAAGAAAGGGTATCAGCGATGGAAGACAAAATGAATGAAATGAAGTGTGAAGAGAAGTTTAGAGAAAAAAGAATAAAAAGAAAAGAACAAAGCCTCCAATAAATATGGGACTATGTGAAAAAACCAAATCTACATCTGATTGGTGTACCTGAAAGTGAAGGGGAGAATGGAACCAAGTTGGGAAACACTCTGCAGGATATTATCCAGGAGAACTTCCCCAATCTAGCAAGGCAGGCCAACATTCAGATTCAGGAAATACAGAGAATGCCACAAAGATACTCCTTGAGAAGAGCAACTCCAAGTTCCATAATTGTCAGATTCACCAAAGTTGAAATGAAGGAAAAAATGTTAATGGCAGTCAGAGAGAAAGGTTGGGTTACCCACAAAGGGAAGCCCATCAGACTAACAGCTGATCTCTCGGCAGAAACTCTACAAGCCAGAAGAGAGTGGGGGCCAATATTCAACACTCTTAAAGAAAAGAATTATCAACTCAGAATTTCATATCCAGCCAAACTAAATTTCATAAGTGAAGGAGAAATAAAATACTTTACAAACAAGCAAACGCTGAGAGATTTTGTCACCACCAGGCCTGCCCTACAAGAGCTCCTGAAAGAAGCACTAAACATGGAAACATATCCAGCCACTGCAAAAACATGCCAAATTATAAAGACCATCAAGGCTAGGAAGAAACTGCATCAACTAATGAGTAAAATAACCAGCTACTATCATAATGACAAGATCAAATTCACACATAACAATATTAACCTTAAATGTAAATGGGCTAAATGCTCCAATTAAAAGGCACAGACTGGCAAATTGGATAAAGGGCCAAGACCCGTCAGTGTGCTGTATTCAGGAAACCCATCTCACGTGCAGAGACACACATAGGCTCAAAATAAAAGGATGGAGGAAGATCTACCAAGCAAATGGAAAACAAAAAAAGGCAGGGGTTGCAATCCTAGTCTCTGATAAAACAGATTTTAAACCAACAAAGATCAAAAGAGACAAAGAAGGCCATTACATAATGGTAAAGGGATCAATTCAACAAGAAGAACTAACTTTCCTAAATATATATGCACCCAATACAGGAGCACCCAGATTCATAAAGTAAGTCCTGAGTGACCTACAAAGAGACTTAGACTCCCACACAATAATACTGGGAGACTTTAACACCCCACTGTTAACATTAGACAGATCAATGAGACAGAAAGTTAACAAGGATATCCAGCAATTGAACTCAGCTCTGCACCAAGCGGACCTAATAGACATCTACAGAACTCTCCACCCCAAATCAACAGAAGATACATTTTTTTCAGCACCACACCACACCTATTCCAAAGTTGACCACATACTTGGAAGTAAAGCTCTCCTCAGCAAATGTAAAAGAACAGAAATTATAACAAACTGTCTCTCAGACCACAGTGCAATCAAACTAGAACTCAGGATTAAGAAACTCACTCAAAACCACGCAACTACATGGAAACTGAACAACCTGCTCCTGAATGACTACTGGGTACATAACCAAATGAAGGCAGAAATAAAGATGTTCTTTGAAACCAACGAGAACAAAGACACAACATACCAGAATCTCTGGGTCACATTCAAAGCAGTGTGTAGAGGGAAATTTATAGCACTAAATGCCCACAAGAGAAAGCAGGAAAGATCCAAAATTGGCACCCTAACATCACAATGAAAAGAACTAGAAAAGCAAGAGCAAACACATACAAAAGCTAGCAGAAGGCAAGAAATAACTAAAATCAGAGCAAAACTGAAGGAAATAGAGACACAAAAAACCCTTCAAAAAATCAATGAATCCAGGAGCTGGTTTTTTGAAAAGATCAACAAAATAGATAGACCGCTAGCAAGACTAATAAAGAAGAAAAGAGAGAAGAATCAAATAGACACAATAAAAAATGTCAAAGGGGATATCACCACCAATCCCACAGAAATACAAACTACCATCAGAGAATACTACAAACATCTCTACACAAATAAACTAGAAAATCTGGAAGAAATGGATAAATTCCTCGATACATACACTATCCCAAGACTAAACCAGGAAGAAGTTGAATCTCTGAATACACCAATAACAGGATCTGAAATTGAGGCAATCATTAATAGCTTACCAACCAAAAAAAGTCCAGGACCAGATGGATTCACAGCCGAATACTACCAGAGGTACAAGGAGGAGCTGGTACCATTCCTTCTGAAACTATTCCAATCAATAGAAAAAGAGGAAATCCTCCCTAACTCATTTTATGAGGCCAGGATCATCCTGATACCAAAGCCTGGCAGAGACACAACAACAACAAAAAAAGAATTTTAGACCAATATCCTTGATGAACATCGATGCAAAAATCCTCAATAAAATACTTGCAAACCGAATCCAGCAACACATTAAAAAACTTATCCACCATGATCAAGTGGGCTTCATCCCTGGGATGCAAGGCTGGTTCAACAGACAAAAATCAATAAACATAATCCAGCATATAAACAGAACCAAAGACAAAAACCACATGATTATCTCAATAGATGCAGAAAAGGCCTTTGACAAAATTCAACAATGCTTCATGCTAAAAACTCTCAATAAATTAGGTATTGATGGGACATATCTCAAAATAATAAGAGCTATCTATGACAAACCCACAGCCAATATCATACTGAATGGACAAAAACTGGAAGCATTCCCTTGGAAAACTGGCACAAGACAGGGATGCCCTCTGTCACCACTCCTTTTCAACATAGTGTTGGAAGTTCTGGCCAGGGCAATCAGGCAGGAGAAGGAAATAAAGGGCATTCAATTAGGAAAAGAGGAAGTCAAATTGTCCCTGTTTGCAGATGACATGATTGTATATCTAGAAAACCCCATTGTCTCAGCCCAAAATCTCCTTAAGCTGATAAGCAACTTCAGCAAAGTCTCAGGATACAAAATCAATGTGCAAAAATCACAAGCATTCTTATACACCAATAACAGACAAACAGAGAGCCAAATCATGAGTGGACTCGCATTCACAATTGCTTCAAATAGAACAAAATACCTGGGAATCCAACTTCCAAGGGATGTGAAGGACCTCTTCAAGGAG
Source organism: Homo sapiens (assembly GCF_000001405.40). Taxonomy (NCBI): domain Eukaryota; kingdom Metazoa; phylum Chordata; class Mammalia; order Primates; family Hominidae; genus Homo; species Homo sapiens. The sequence goes on from NC_000023.11 coordinate 90,840,677, forward strand.
AACTACAAACCACTGCTCAATGAAATAAAAGAGGATCCAAACAAATGGAAGAACATTCCATGCTCCTGGGCAGGAAGAATCAATATCATGAAAATGGCCATACTGCCCAAGGTAATTTATAGATTCAATGCCATCCCCATCAAGCAACCAATGACTTTCTTCACAGAATTGGAAAAAACTACTTTAAAGTTCATATGGAACCAAAAAAGAGCCTGCATTTCCAAGTCAATCCTAAGCCAAAAGAACAAAGCTGGAGGCATCAGGCTACCTGACTTCAAACTAAACTACAAGGCTACAGTAACCAAAACAGCATGGTACTGGTACCAAAACAGTGATATAGACAAAGGGAACAGGACAGAGTCCTCAGAAATAATGCCACATATCTACAAATATCTGATCTTTGACAAACCTGACAGAAACAAGCAATGGGGAAAGGATTCCCTATTTAATAAATGGTGCTGGGAAAACTGGCTAGCCAGATTTAGAAAGCTGAAACTGGATCCCTTCCTTACACCTTATACAAAAATTAATTCAAGATGGATTGAAGACTTACATGTTAGACCTAAAACCACAAAAATCCTAGAAGAAAACCTAGGCAATACCATTCAGGACATAGATATGGGCAACGACTTCATGTCTAAAACACCAAAAGCGATGACAACAAAAGCCAAAATTGACAAATGGGATCTAATTAAACTAAAGAGCTTCTGCACAGCAAAAGAAACTACCATCAGAGTGAACAGGCAACCTACAAAATGGGAGAAAAATTTCGCAACCTACTCATCTGACAAAGGGCTAATATCCAGAATCTACAATGAACGCAAACAAATTTACAAGAAAAAAACAAACAACCCCATCAACAAGTGGGTGAAGGATATGAACAGACACTTCTCAAAAGAAGACATTTATGCAGACAAAAAACACATGAAAAAATGCTCATCATCACTGGCCATCAGAGAAATGCAAATCAAAACCACAATGAGATACCATCTCACACCAGTTAGAATGGTGATCATGAAAAAGTCAGGAAACAACAGGTGCTGGAGAGGATGTGGAGAAATAGGAACACTTTTACACTGTTGGTGGGACTGTAAACTAGTTCAACCATTGTGGAAGTCGGTGTGGCAATTCCTCAGGGATCTAGAACGAGAAATACCATTTGACCCAGCCATCCCATTACTGGGTATATATGCAAAGGATTTTAAATCATGCTGCTATAAAGACACATGCACATGTATGCTTATTGCAGCACTATTCACAATAGAAAAGACTTGGAACCAACCCAAATGTCCAACAATGATAGACTGGATTAAGAAAATGTGGCACATATACACCATGGAATACTATGCAGCCATAAAAAATGATGAGCTCATGTCCTTTGTAGGGACATGGATGAAGCTGGAAACCATCATTCTGAGCAAACTATCACAAGGACAAAAAACCAAATGCCACATGTTCTCACTCATAGGTGGGAATTGAACAATGAGAACGCATGGACACAGGAAGGGGAACATCACACACCGGGGACTGTTGTGGGGTCAGGGGAGGGGTGAGGGATAACATTAGGAGATATACCTAATGCTAAATGACTAGTTGGTGGGTACAGCACACCAACATGGCACATGTATACATATGTAACAAACCCGTACGTTGTGCACATGTACCCTGAAACTTAAAGCATATAAAAAAAAGAACTGTAACACTACAAAAAAAAAATTCACACTCTTTGAAAAATATTTAACCAAATATTAGAATTATTTAAGCTTTGAAGTCAGAAAGACTCTTTATTCATTCATGCAATGTGTTTTTGAGATTGTCAGTTTTTAAGGTTCAGTGGTATAACTAAATCTGGAAAAGAAAACAGCATAGGAACAATGTTTGCAGAAAGAACTGCTACTCTTATCAGAATATTCTATCTTTATTCACTCTAGCTGGTAGACACCAACAAACTTCAGTTTCCATAAATAACATAGAATGTAGAATTTTCAGGTCCTGGTAGAAACTACTATTAACTAGGACTTCAATAAGAAACAAAAAATTAGCATAAAGAACATCAATTAGCTGAATATGAACACATATGAATGAACGAAGTGTTTTTTTTTTCATCATGGGCTGCTGAAACCCCTATTTTTTAACATAAACTTTTAATTGTTTGGGGAACAGGTGGTTTTTGACTACATGGATAAGTAATTTAATGGTAATTTCTGAGACTTTGGTACACCTGTCAAAAGAGTGTATATACTGTACCCAAAGTGTAGTCTTTTATCCCTCAGCACCCTTCCCCACATTTCCTTGAGTCCCCAATGTCCATTATATCATTCTTTTGCCTTTGCATCCTCATAGCTTAGCTCCCAATTATAAGTAAGAACAGATAATATTGGTTTTTGATTCCTGAGTTACTTCACTTAGAATAATGGCCTCCAGTTCCATCCAAGTTGATGCAAAATTCATTATTTCATTCCTTTTTATGGCTGAGTAGTATTTCATGGTGTATGTCTATCACATTTTCTTTATCCACTCAGTGGTTGATGGGTATTTAGGGTGGTTCCATATTTTTGTAATTAGGAATTGTCCTGCTATAAATATGCGTGTGCAAGTGTCTTTTTCATATAATGACTTCTTTTCCTCTGGTGGATACACAGCAGTGGGACTGCGGGATCAAATGGTAGTTCTACTTTTAGTTGTTTAAGGAATCTCCATACTGTTTTTTCATAGTAGTTGTGCTAATTTACATTCTCACCAGCAGTGTAAAAGTGTTCCCTTTTCACCACATGCATACCAACATCTTTTTTTTTTTATTTATGACCACTTTTGCAGGAGTAAAGTGATATTTCATTGTAATTTTAATTTGCATTAACCTGATAATTCATGATGTTGAGAATTTCTAAAATGTTTGTTGGCCATTTGTATATCTTCTTTTGAAAATTGTTTATTCATACCTTTGCCTATTTTTGATGAGATCATTTTTTTCTTGCTGATTTGTTTGAGTTCATTGTAGATTCTGGATATTAGTCCTTTGTTGGATGCATAGTTTGGGAATATTTTCTCACCTAATCTGTGGGTTGTCTGTTTGTTGATTATTTCTTTTGCTGTGCAGAAGATTTTAGTTTAATTACATCTCATTTGTTTGTTTTTGTTGCATTTGCTATTGTGTTCTTGGTCATGAATTCTTTGCCTAAGACAATGTCTAGAAGAGTTTTTCTGATGTTATCTTCCAGAATTTTTATAGCCTCAGGACTTAGATTTAAGTCTTTGATCCATCTTGATTTGATTTTTGTATAAGGTGGAGATAAGCATCCAGTTTCATTCTTCTACATGTGGCTTGCTAATTATCCCAGAACCATTTGTTGAATAAGGTGTCCTTTCCCCACTTTAAGTTTTTGTTTGTTTTGTTGATGATCAGTTGGCGTAAGTATTTGGCTTTATATCTGGGTTCTCTATTCTGTTCAACCACTCTACATGCCTATTTTTATACGAGGACTATGCTGTTTTGTTAACTATATCCTTGTAGTATAGCTTGAATTTGAGTAATATGATGCCTCCAGATTTGTTCTTTTTGCTTAGTCTTTCTAGGCTATGTGGGTTCTTTTTGGTTCTGTATAAATTTTAGGATTTTTTTTCTAATTCTGTGAAGAATGATGATGGTACTTTGATGGTAATTGCATTGAATCTGTAGATTGCTTTTGGCCATATGGTCATTTTCACAATATTGATTCTACCCATTCATGAGCATGAGAAGTGTTTTCATTTGTTTTTGTTGTTGGTAGTTTCCTTCAGCAGTGTTTTGTAGTTTTCCTTGTAAAGATCCTTTACCTTCTTTGTTAGGTATATTTCTAGTATTTTGTAAAATTTTTTTGTAGCTCTTGTAAAAGGGATTGAGTTCTTAATTTGTTTCTCAGCTTGTTTATTTTTGGTGTATTGCAGTGCTATTAATTTGTGTACACTGATTTTGTATCCTGAAACTGTACTGAATTCATTTATCAGATCTAGAAACTTTTTGGATGAGTCTTTAGGGTTTTCTAGGTATATGATCCTATCATCAGTGAACGGCAACAGTTGGACTTCCTCTTTCCCAATTTGGATGCCTTTCATTTCACTCTCTTGTCTAATTGCTCTGGCAAAGACTCCCACTACTATGTTCAATAGAAGTAATCAAACTGGGTGTCCTTGTTTTGTTCCAGTTCTCAGGAGGAATGCTTTCAACTTTTCCGCATTTAGTATAATGTTGGCTGTGGTTGTCATAGATGGCTTTTGTTACCTTGAGGTGTGTCTCTCCTATACCAATTTTGCTGAGGGTTTTAATCATAAAGGGATATGCTAGATTTTGTCAAATGCTTTTTCTGCATCTGTTGGTATGATTATATACTTATTGTTTTTAATTCTGTGTATGTGATATATGACATTTATTGATTTGCATATGTTCAAACATCCCTGTATCCCTGGTATAAAACCCACTTGATCATGGTGAATTATCTTTCTGATATGCTGTTGGATTTGGTTAGCTAGCATTTTGTTGAAGATTTTTCTATCTATGTTCATTAGGGATATTGATCTGTAGTTTTCATTTTTTGTTATGTCCTTTTCTGGTTTTAAAATTACAGTAATACAAGCTTCATAGAATGATTCAGGGAGGAGTCCCTCTTTCTCTAAATTTTGAAATAGTTTCAGTAAGATTGGTATCAATTCTTCTTTGAATGTCTGATACAATTCAGCTGTGAATCAATTTGGTCCTGAGTTTGTCAGCAATTTTTTAAATTACTGTTTCAATCTAGCTACTTGTCATTGGTCTATTCAGAGCCTCTATTTCTCCCTGATTTAATCTGGGAGGGAGTTATATATTTCCAACAATTTATCTGTCTCCTTTAAATTTTCTACTTTGTGTGTAAAGGTGTTCATAGTACCCTTGAATGAACTTTTGTATTTCTCTGGTATCAGTTGTAACATCTAATTGAGCTTATTTGATTCTTCTCTCTTCTTTTCTTGGTTAATCTCACTAATGGTTTATTAATTTTATTTATCTTTTCAAATAACCAGCTTTATTTAGCTTTTGTATCTTTTTATTGTTGTTTCAATTTTATCTAGTTCTACTCTGATCTTTGTTAGTTCCTTCGTTCTGCTGGGTTTGGGTTTGGTATGTTCCTGCTTCTCTAGTTCCTTAAGGTGTGACCTTAGATTGTTGCTATTTTTGCTCTTTCAGACTCTTGGATATAGGCATTTAATGCTATAAACTTTTAGCACCACTTTTGCTGTATTCCAGAGGTTTTAATAAGTTTTATCACTATTAGATTCAGTTCAAAAAAAATTTTAATATTTATCTTGATTTCATTTTTGACCCAAAGATCATTCAAAAGCAGATTATTTAATTTTCATATATTTTCATAATTTTGAGGGTTTGCTTTAGAGTTAATTTCCAGTTTTATTCCACAGTGGTCTAAGTGGATACTTGATATAATTTTCATTTTTTTATTTTATTGAGATTTCTTTTGTGACTTGTCATATGGTCAGTCTTGGAGAATGTTCACATGGTAAAGAAAAGAAAGTACATTTTGTTGTTTCTGGGTAGAATATTCTGTAAATATCTGTTAAGTTATTTAGTTCTAGTGTATAATTTAAGTCAATTTTTTATTGTTGGCTCTTTTTTTGATGACCTGCCTAGTGCTGTCAGTGGAGTATTGGAGTGCCCTGCTGTTATTGTGTCACCATCTATCTCATTTCTTAAGTCTGGTATTAATTGTTTTGTAAGTTTGGAAGCTCCAGTGTTAGGTGCATATATATTTAGGATTGTGACACTGTCCTGCTTGACTATTCTTTTTATTGTTATATAATGTCACTCTTTGTCTTTTTTACTGTTGCTGCTTTAAAGTCTATTTTGTCTGATATAAAAATAGCTGTTTATGCTTGCTTTTGGTTTCCATGTGCATGAATTTTTTTTATCCCTTTACCTGAAATTTATGTGAGTTCTTATGTGTTAAGTGAGTCTCTTGAAAACAGCAGATACTTGATTGGTGAATTTATATCCATTCTGCCACTCTGTATCTTGTAAATTAATCATTTAAGGCATCTACATTCAACATTAATATGGAGATGTGAGGTATTGTTCTATTCTTCATGTTATTTGTTGCCTAATATCTTGTTTTTTTTCTCATTATGTTATTGTTTCATAGGCCCTGTGAGACTTATGCTTTAAGGAGGATCTATTTTGGTGTATTTTGAGGGTTTGTTTCAAGATTTAGAACTCCTTTTAGCATTTCCTGTAGTGCTGGCTTAGTAGTGGTGAATTATCTTAGCATTTATTTGTCTGAAAAAGAATTTATTTCTCCTTCATTTATGAAGCTTAGTGTTGCTGGAACAAATTTCTTGTCTAATAATTATTTTGTTTTAGGAGGCTAAAAATAGAACCCCAATTCCTTTTGGCTTGTAAGCTTTCTTCTGAGAAATCTGCTGTTAATCTGATAGGTTTTCCTTTATATGTTATTTGATGCTTTTGTCTCTCAGCCCTTAAAATTCTTCCCTTCATCTTGACTTTAGATAACCTGATTAATATGTCTAGGTGGTTATTTTTTTTTTATAACTTTCTCATGTGTTCTTTGAGCTTCTTATATTTGGATGTCTAGATCTCTAGCAAGATCAAGGAAGTTTTCCTCAATTATTCACTCAAATAAGTTTTCCAACCTTTAGATTTCTCCTCTTCCTCAGGAACATCAATTATTTTTGTTTGGCCCCTTAACATAATCACAGATTACTTGGAGGCTTTATCATTTTTTCTTTTATTATGTTTTACTTGTTTTTATCTGACTGTGTTAATTTAAAAGCTTTGTCTTTGAGCTCTGAAATTGTTTCTTCTCCTTGTTCTAGTCCATTGTTGAAACTTTCCACTGCATTTTGTATCCCCCTAAGTGTGTCTTTCATTTCCAGAAGTTGTCATTGCTTTTTTTTACATGATGACATAATTTTAATCTATATGCTGTATTTTTTCAACTTCTTTAAGTTGTTTTTTACCTTTCTCTGTTATCTCCTTGAGTAGCTTAATAATCAACCTTCTGAATTCTTTATCTAGCAATCCAGAAGTTTCTTTTTTGTTTGAATGGATTGCTGGAAACCTGGTGTGATGTTTTGGAGGTGTTATAGAACCCTGTTTTGTCATACTACCAGAATTACTTTTCTGATTCATTCTCATTTGGGTATACTATATCAGTGGAGAGATCTGAAACTCAAAGCCTGCTCTTTAGATTCTCTTGTCCCACAGGGTGATCCCTTGATGTGGTGCTGTCCTCCTTTGTCTTGGGATGAGGCTTCCTGAGAGTTGGACTGCAGTGATTGTTTTTGTTCTTCTGGGTCTAGCCACTCAGCAGGACTACCAGACTTGGCTGGTGCTGCTGGATATCTACAAAGAGTCCTGTGATGTGATCCGTCTTCAAGTCTCCCAGCCGTGGATACCAGCACCTGCTCTGGTAGAGGTGACAGGGAAGTGAAGTAGACTCTATGAGAATCCTTGGTTGTAGACATGTTTAGTGTGCTTGCTTTCTTGAATGCTTGTTATGTTAGCAGTGAAGTTGTCACATGGACATACTAAAGACCTCTAGTTAGCCAGGATGCTGTGAGCAGTGAAATTAGGTGTTCTGTTCTCCTGCCTGGAATCAGGGTTGTTCTGTCATGAGTTGCCGTAATGGCCTGAGTTGGTTGACCTCCAACTAGGAGGTGGCACTTTCAAGATAGCACCAGCTGTGGTAGTAGTAGGGGGCCCTAAGCTTGCCCTAAGATGGCCAGAGTAAGTGTTTTGGTTTGTCAAGTAATAGGCAGGGCCATAAAGCTCCCCAAATGTCTATGTTTTCTGTTTGTCTACCATGTCAGGAAGGGAAATACCATCAGGTAGTGACAGGGCTAGACAGATCTGGGGTCAGACTCTCCTTGGGTGGGTTTGCCATGACCACTGTGGGAGATGGTGGGGGGTGGTCCTCAGGCCAATCGTGTTGTGTTCCAGAGGGCATCTTGGCCACCTCTTCCGTGTCATATAGTTCACCAGTGAATGGGGAATAGCCAGTAGCAAGAGGCCTTACCCAGCTCCGCCATAGTTCGTGAGGCCAGTATCGCTCCTGCAGTGTCCTACACACATCTTGCCCCAGCCTGTGAGCTACCCCACTGAGAAAGCAAGCATGGCTTTCAGACCTTACCCTGCCCTGTCTGCCCACTCCATCAGTGTCAGTTTCTGAGTTCCTAAGCTCGTTCACATCCGCAGCAGCCCCTGCTTCTCCTCAAGGCTCCACTCAAGAAAATTTGTGTCCGTCAAAACCACTACCAATTTCAGTTGGAAGCTCCCTTTGCCTGTGACCCCAGGATGGTGTTCGATGCATTGTAAGATAATTAGCTGCATCTCTAACCTCTACACATTAAAAGTCAGTAAACCCTGCTCACTCCCCATTCCTTGTTATTTTATCCTAGCTTGGTGCAACAATCAAAATGTTTCCAGATTTTACCAAGTGTTTCCTGAAGCACCAAAATAACCCTCGATTATTTCTTTTTACTATTTTTCCACAAGTTAACATTCTGTGAAAACTTTAAGGCTCTTGGAAAAGAAATAATGTGCAGAAACTCTTCTCTGTGTAGTAATTCACTGTCTCTGAAAGTCTTTTATTCCATTTGCGTAGCAATGTGTCTTAATTGGTATGTTCTCTTCTCTACTCTTTTCCTGCTTTCTTCAATGATCTGATTTGAAATTCTTAAGCAGAAAATAAGTTTTCAATTTGAATGAATTTTTGCAAGTTATAAATACCTAAAATTAAGAGTTTATAATGGAAATACCAACACAACCTCAAATTTAGTAGTGTGAGGAGCACCAATATAAAAAATCCATCACTTGTCTTCTATATCTGTCACAGTTCTATAAATCAAATTATTGAAATGTAAATTATGTTTTAAAAGATTTTTTCATAAATCAGCTATGCATGTAGACACTGTTGATTATATTTTGGCAGTAAATCCTGTTGTTCATGGACATATTCTTGTGCTAGTTATATAAAAATTACCTAAAATTATATGTCAGGAGCATTTCAAAATATATCTTCTGAACATAATTCTTACAATATGAGGCCAGGAGTTATGGTTTACACCTCTAATCCCAGCACTTTGGGAGGCCAAGGCAGATGGATAAGTTGAGGTCAGGAGTTCGAGACCAGACTGACCAACATGGTGAAACCTCATCTCTATTAAAATACAAAAATTAGCAGGGCATAGTGATACACACCTGTAATTCCAGCTACTCAGGAGGCTGAGGCAGGAGAATCACTTGAACCTGGGAGGTGGAGGTTGCAGTGAGCCAAGATCATGCCACTGCACTCCAGCCTGGGTGACAGAGTGAGATTCTGTCTCAAGATAAGATAAAATTAAAAAATAATTATTACAATATCATTTTGTCTTAGAGCACTTGGAAGAGAAAAACAAATGTGTAAGATAGAAAGTTCCTCAATTGTTTCATTATTATATTTAGTACAAAGATCTTCTCACTTTAACCATAAAGATGTTATGTATGGAATATCTGACTAAATATATTTTATAGCCAGTCAACAAACAAAAAAAACACTCAGCTGACATAAAAGGAATGCATGACTTCTCTACTGACCAACTCAAAAATGTAAAGTAATTATATACTTGTAATGAACACATTTATATTTTCAGAGTACGTTATAAGTGAAAAAATTTACAAAGTGTTCAAATATCAGCAGGAAATTATTGACCTTGACTATTTTATTTATTAATTGAAAACAATCTAGTTTATGTCATTAAAAACAATTCAGACTGGGCACAGTAACTCACACCTGCAATCTCACCACTTTGGGAGGCCGAGGCGAGAGGATTACTTGAGGCCAGAAGATTGAGACCAGTCTGAGCAACAGAGTAATACCCCATCACTACAATAAAAAAATTGAAAAATAGCTGGACATGTTGGCATTTTCCTGTAGTCCTAGCAACTTGAGAAGCTGAGGTGGGGGGATTACTTGAATCCAGAAGGTCAAGGCTGCAGTGGGCTATGATTACGACACTGCACTCCAGCCTGGGTGACAGAGTATGACCCTGTCTTTTAAGAGAAAAAAGAAACAACAGGAACAATTCAAATTTTATATGTATTAGTCCATTCTCATGCTGCTCTAAAAAAAAAATACCCAAGACTGAGTAATTTATAAAGAAAAGAGGTTTAATTGACTCACACTTACACATTGCTTGGGATGTCTCAGGAAATTTACCATCATGGTGGAAGGCAATGGAGAAACAGGCACCTTCTTCACAGGGCAGCAGGATAGAGTAAGTGCAAGTAGGGGAAATGCCAGATGCCTATAAAACCATCAGATCTCATGAGAACTAATTCACTGTCACCAGAACAGCATGGAGGATCCTGCCCCCATGATCCAATCACTGTCCCTCTCATGACATCTGGGGATTATGGAGGTTATAATTCAAGATGAGATTTGGGTGGGAACACAGCCAAACCATATCAGTATGTAATTATACAGCCTAAAAGTGGGAAATCCTTTATCACTCACCCTATCACCTTCTACTTTTTTAATGAAGCCTCACAATTGGTGTTATTCAATAGAATTTACATGAATTTACACACCCATGTACAAAAGAACACATGCATTCTCATATGAGTATCCCAGTGTGTACTTATTTGTATATAAACATTTAATTTTGTTTATGTTTTATGTAATTTGATTCTTATGTTTATGACAACTGGCTTTTATTTTTCTTTACACTAATCCTTGGAAACTTTCCCATATCAATACATGCAGTTCTACTTTATTCTTTCAAATTTGTTTACAAAACATAGAATATTTTTATTTGTATAAATTTGTTGGGATACAAGTGTAATATCATTACATAGATGTATCGTATACTGGAGAAGGCAGGACTTTTAATTTATCCATTGCAGAAATAAAGTATCCATTAAGTAATTTCTCACTATTCAACACACTCCTTCTTCTCACACTCTTTGGAGTCTCCATTGTTTATTATTCTAAACTTTGTGACCATATGTGCTCATTATTTAGCTCCCATGTGTAACTGAGAACATGTGACATTTTTCTTTCTGTGTCTACTTTTCATAAGACAATGACCTCTTCTTCCATCCATGTTGCTGCAAAAGAAATGATCTCATTATTTTATGGCTGAATAGTATTCCACTGTGTATATATACCACATTTTCTGTATTCAATCATCCATTGATGGATACATAAGTCGATTCCATATATTTGCTATTGTAAAGGATCTGTAATAAACACACAAGTGTATGTAATATTTTCATATAATTATTTCTTTTTGGGGGGATATATACCCAGTAGTGAGATTATAGGATTCAATGGTATTTCCATTTTTAATTCCTTGAGAAATCTCCATACTGTTTTTCATAGAGGTTGTAGTAATTTATATTTGCTTCAACAGTATACGAGCACTCAACTTTCTCCACATCCTCACCAGCATTTGTTATTTTTTGTCTTTTTTATTATTGCCCTTCTGACTGGTGTAAGATAATACCTCATTTTAATTTTAAATTTTACTTTTTGATGATTAGTGACAATAAGCATTTTTATATACTTGTTGGCTATATGCATGTCTTCTTTTGAAAAATGTCTATTTTTCTTTTGCTCACTTCTTTATAGGGTTATTTGATTTTGTTGTTGTTTTTGTTTTTTGAGTTCTTCATAAATTCTGGATATTAATTCCTCCCTGTATTAATAGTTTTCAAATATTTTCTCCCATCCTGCAGGTTGTCTGTTCAATCTTTTATTTCTTTTGTTTTACAGAAGCTCTTTAAGTCCATTTGTCTATTTTTTGTTTCTGTTTCTTGTGCTTTGGAAGTCTTAGTTGTGAATTTTTTCCTACATCAATGTCTAGAAAAGTTTTCTTTAGGTTGTCTTCTAGTATTTTTTATAGCTTTAGGCCTTACATTTAAATCTTTAATCCATCTCATATAGTTGGGATATTTGTCTCCAGCCAAATTGCATGTTGAATTGTAATCTCTGATGTTGGAGTTGGGCCCTGGTGGGAGATGTTTGATTCATGGCAGCAGATCTCTTATAAATGGCTTGGGCCACTCCCTTAGTAATAAATAACATCTAGTTCTGAGTTTGAATGAGATCTGGTGCTTTAAAAGTGTGTGGCACCTCCCCATCCACTCTTCCTCTCTTGCTCCTGCTTTTGCCATGTGGCACACAAGCTCCCACTTCAACTTCTGCCATGAATAAAAGCTCCCTGAAGCCTCCGCAGAAGCTGAGCAATATTGGTGCTGTCTCATGTATATCCTTCAAAATTATGAGCCAATTAAACATTGTTTCTTTATAAATTATGCTGTCTAATGTATTTCTTTATAACAATGCAGAAATGCCCAATAATTCAGTTAAATTTTGTATATGGTGAATGAAAGGGGTCCAGTATCATTCTGCATATGAAAATCCAATTTTCCCAGCACCATTTTTGAAAAGGATGTCTTTTCCACAATGCATTCTTTTGTTGACTTTGTCAATGATCAGTTTGTTGTAAGTGTGTGGACCCTTTTCTGGCTTCCATATTCTATACCAATGATTTATGTGTCCATCTTATACCAGTACGATGCTGTTTTGATTTCTACAGCCATGTAGTATAATTTGAACAATGTAATGTGATTCTTCCGTTTTTGTTCTTTATTCTCAGAATTTATTTTCCTATTTGGGCTCTTTTTTTGGTTCCATATGATTTTAGGGTTGTTTTCTCTAGTTCTTTGAAATATCACATTGATATTTTGATAGGGTTTGTATTGCATCTGTAGATTGCTTTGGGCAGTATAGTCATTTTAACAATATTGATCTTTCTGATTAATGACTACGTGGTGTTTTTCCATTTGTTTATGTCATCCACAATTTATTTCATCAGTGTCTTGTATATTTTCTTGTAGAGGTCTTTTACTGCCTTGGTTAAATATATTTGTAGATTTTTTTGTAGCTATTATAAATGGAGTTGTCTTCTTGATTTGGTACTTAGCTGAATTATTATTGGTGTATATAAATGCTACCAATGGTTATATGTTGATTTTGTATCCTGAAACTTGATTGATTTATCAATTCTCAGAGTTTTTTTGTTGGAGTCTTTAGGGTTTTATAGATATGAGGTTATGACATCAGTGAACAGGGATAATTTTATTTTCTCTGTTCCACCTAGAATTTCCAGTACTATGCTGAATAAGAATGGTGAAAGTGGGCATCCTTGTTTTGTCCCAGTTCATAGAGGGAATGGTTTCAACTTCCCCTTATTCAGTATGATGTTGGCTATGGGTTTGCCATATAACGCCTTCATTTGTTTTAATATATGATTTTGTTCATGTGGATCTTCTTTCTTATTTTCCTGATTAGTCTAGCTAGAGGTTTACCAATTTTTAAAACCTTTTTGAAGAACCAACTTTATATTTCATTGATTCCTTATATTCCTCTTTGTATTTTTTGTCTCAATTCAATTTAAATCTGCCCTGATCTTTGTCATTTCTTTTCTTTTTCTAACTTTGAGTTTGGTATTTTCTTGTTTTCCAGGTTTGTTGAGATGCAATATTAGGTTGTAAATTTGTGATCTTTCTACTTTTTGACGTAGGCATTTAATTCTATAAACTTTCCCCTTAATACTACTTTTGATGTACTCCAGAGATTTGGGTATGTGTGTTTCCATTTTCATGTGTTTAAAAAAGTTTAATTTACAGCTTAATTTTTTGTTTACTCAAGGATGACTCAGGAGCATGTTGGTTAATTTCTATGCATTTGTATAGTTTCCAAAGATTCTCTCAGTATTGATTTATATGTAGGGAGACCCCCTGAAACTATTGCTACAGAATAAAAGATGAAATGCTCCTGATTACTGTAAATACAAAATTGCACACAGGATTGTGTAAAGACAATGCCAAGTTGGACTGCCAGAATGAGCCAACAGCACGTGATGTGCTTCCCCCTGCAGAGAGCCTATGAATGAATGTGCAGTCAGGGAGGTTTCACATCACCAAGATTCCTATCCCAGAAAAGCAGATGTTCATAGCTCTGGGAATGGAATGCAAACCTTGTGGAGAGACTATAAACAGACGCATGGGGGGCGCCTGTCCATATGGATAAGATAGGGCTATAAACGCCCTCATCTTGCCACAGTTCTTCTAGGCCTCTTTAGGGTTAAGGCATACTCCCTTCTGAGAATTTCTGGTCTAACCGGTTGTCTAGCTTCATGTCCTGTTTCTGTGGATTGTTTGTAACCAGCTTTTGCTGCAACTGTTACTGCTGATTAATATCTTGTTAATCATAGGTTATGGAAAGATTGTGTTTCTGTTTTAAGGCTCTGTTAGAAATTACTGACGCACACACTATATTGTAATTCTTATCTCTGTATACTGTACTTCTGCATACAAATGTTATGTTAAAGAATTACTTCATCCCCATGTAACCATCTCACCTCATAATCAAATAACCCTAAATCCCTCACTAACCTACCCCTGCCCTCACTAAACTTAATAGTAAATGCTGGTATATCCAGTGCATTGTTGGCACCACGGGACCAGAAGGTGGTGACCCCCCTGGACCCAGCTTTCACTATCTTGTGTGTGTCTATTATTTCTCAACCTGCCGATCCGCCTGGGAACAAAGAGAGCCCCGTTGCATTGTGGGCTGCTGGCCAGATCCCACAATATTTAGAGTTGGATTTTGTTGTGGTCTAAAAAGATACTTTATATGATTTAAATTTTTAAGAACTTTTTGAGGCCGGGCGTAGTGGCTCATGCCTGTAATCCCAGCATTTTGGGAGGCTGAGGCGGGCAGATCACCTGAGGTCGAGAGTTTGAGACCAGCCTGACCAACATGGAGAAACCCCGTCTATACTAAAAATACTAAATTAGCCAGGCATGGTGGCACATGCCTGTAATCCCAGCTACTAGGGAGGCTGAGGCGGGAGAATCGCTTGAACCTGGGAGGCGGAGGTTGTGGTGAGCCGAGATCGTGCCATTACACTCCAGGCTGGGCAACAAGAGCAAAACTCCATCTCAAAAAAAAAAAAGAACTTTTTGAGACTTGTTTGGTGCCCTAATATATGGTCGATCTTGGAGAATGTTTCAAGTGCTGATAAGAAGAGTGTGTAGTCTGTAGTTGTTGAATAGAATATGCTGTACAGTTTGTTAGGTCTATTTGGTCTAAAGTTCAGTTTAAACCCAATAATTCTTAGAAGATTTTATCTCCTGGTGATTTCTCTGTGTTGTGATGGGAGTTCTAAATTCTCTCAATATTATTGTATTGCTGTCTATATCTCTATACAGGTCTAGTAATATTTGTTTTATAAATTTGGGTGCTGTGGTGTTGGGTGCACATATCTAGAATTGTTATATCCTCTTGCTGAATTGATCCTTTTATTATTATATAATGTTATTCTTTGTCTTCTTTCTCAGCTTCTGATTTAAAGTCTCTTTTATCTGATATAAATCTGGATATTCTTGCTCATTTTTGGTTTCTCTTTACATGAAATATTTTGTTTTTTAATCCCTTTACCATCAGTCTATATGTGTTTTCACAGGTCAGATGAGTTTTTTGTAAGCAATATATGATTGGAATATGTTCTGTTTAGCCATTCTGTCAATTTATATATTTTAAGTGAAGCATTTAATCTATTTAAATTAAAGGCTAGTATTATTATATGTGAGTTTTTATTTCCGTATTATTATGAATTGTTATCTAGTCATTTTATAAATTATTTGCTTCTTTCTTTTTCTGTTTGTCTTTGTGATTTCATAAAATTCTGTTGAATTGCCATCTGATTCCTTTCTCTTTTTTGTGTGTGATTGGTTTATAAAACCTATGAGTTTTATACTTTTTTGTGTTATGATAAAACATATCCTTTTTTCATGTTTAGGACTTCTTGGATTTTTTTCTGTAGGGACAGTCTAATGCTGATGAATATTTTTAACCTTTGACTTTCTAAGTAAGACTTTCTTTTTCCTCCATTTATAAAACTTAGTCTAACTGAATATAAAATTCTGGCTGGCAGCTTTTTAAAATTTCAGTACTTTGAAAATCCTATCCTATTCTCTTCTGGCTTGTAGGGTTTTACTGAGAAGTCTGCTGTTTGTCTAATGTGATTTTCTTTATAGGGGACTAGAAATTTTTCTCTTACTGATTGATATGGGTTGGGTCTGTCTCCCTGCCCAAATCTCATGTTGAAATGTAATCCCCAATATTAGAGGTGGGGCCTGATGGGAAGTGATTGGATTGTGGAGTCAGTTTCTCCTGAATGGTTTGGCACCATCCCTGTGTGCTGCTCTCACAATAGTGAGTGAGTGAGTTATTGCCAGTTAGTGCTGTGATGGGAGTTCTGAATTCTCTCAATATTATTGTATTGCTGTCTATGTCTCTATACAAGTATAGTAATATTTGTTTTATAAATTTGGGTGCTGTGGTGTTGGGTGCACATATATCTAGAATTGTTATTTTTTTTTTTATTTTTTTTATTTGCAGTGCCTCCCCCTTCTCTTCCTCCTGCTCTGGCCGTGTGAAGTGCTGGCTTACCCTTTGCCTTTCCCCATAATTATGTGTCCTGAGGCCTCCCCAGATGCCAGTCAGATGCCAACCCTATGCTTCCTGTACAGCCTGTGGAAATATGAGCCAATTAAGCCTCTTTTCTTTATAAATTACCTAGCCTTAGGTTCTTCTTTATAGCCATGCAAGAATTATCTAATATAGAAAATTGGTACTGAGGAGTGGGATATTGTGACTGGAACTTATATTTAAAAGGGAAGCAGAGCAAAAAAGCTTGAAAAATATGCAGCCTGATTATGTGGTAGGAAAAAAAGGCCTGTTTTCAGGGGAAAAATTCAAGCAGACTGCAGAAATGTGCATAAGTAAAGAGGAGCCAAGTAGTAATAGCCAAGACAATGGGGAAAAGGCCTAGAAGGCATTTCAGAGACCTTTGTGGCAGCCTCTCCCATCATAGGCCAGGAGGCTTAGGAGGGAAGAATGGTTTTGTGTGCCAGGCCCAGGACACCACTGCCCTTTGTGTGCCAGGCCCAGGACACCACTGCAGCCTCAGGACACTGCTTTCCACATGCCAGTTATTCCAGCTCCAGCTCTGGGTAAAAGGGACCCAGGTACAGCTCAGACCACTGCTTCAGAGGGGTGTAGGCCACAAACCTTGGCTGCTTTCACATGGAGTTAAGCCTGTGGTTGCACAGAGAGCAAGAGTTGAGGCTGGAGATACTTCAACTGGATTTCAGAGAATGTGTGAAAAAGCCTGGATGTCTAGGCAGAAGCCTGCTGTAGGGGCAGCACCCTTATCAAGAATCTCCGCTATGGTAGTATGGAAAAGAAATGTGAGGTTTGAGCCCCCACACAGTATCCCAACGGGGGCACTGCATAGTGGAGCTGTCAGAAGAGGGCCACCATCCTCCAGACCCCTCCAGAATGGTAGACCCAATGGCAGCTTGCACCCTGCACGTGGAAAAGCTGCAGTCACTCAATGCCAGTACTTGAGAGCACTTCAGCTGGGGCTGATCTCTGCAAAGTCATGAGTATGAAGCTTCCCAAGGCCTTGGGAGACCATCCCTTATACCAGTGTGCCCTGGATATGAGGCATGGAGTCAAAGTAGATTATTTTAGAGTTTAAGGTTTAATGACTGCCCTGCTGGATTTTGGACTTGCATAGGGCCTGTAGCCCCTTTCTTTTGGCCAATTTCTGCCTTCTGGAATGGGAATATTTACCCAATGCCTATACTGCAATTGTATCTTGGAAGTAACTAACTTGTTTTTGATTTTACAGGCTCATAGGTGGAAAGGGCTGGCCTTTCCTCAGATGAGACTTTTGAGTTAATGATGGAAAAAGTTTACATCTTGGGAATTATTGGGAAGGCACAATTGTATTTTGAGATGTGAGGACACAAGATTTTGGAAGGGCCAGGGGTGGAATGACATGGTTTGAATCTGTGTGCCAACCCAAATTTCATATTGAAATGTAATCCCCAATGCTGGAGGTGAGGCCTAATGGAGGATGATTGGATCATGGGGTCAGTTTCTCCTGAATGGTTTAGCACCATCCCTGTGTTGCTGTTCTTGTGATATTGAGTGATTGAGTTATCACCGGATCTAGTTGTTTGAAAATGTTTAGCACCTCCCCTTTTCTTCCTCCTGTTCTGGCCATGTGAAGTGCTGGCTTCCTCTTTGCCTTCTGCAATGATTGTAAGATACCCAAAGCATCTCCCGAAGCCAAGCAGATGCCAGCATCATGCTTTCTGTAAAGCCTGTGGAACCATGAGCCAATTAAACCTCTTTTCTTCATTAATTACTCAGCTTTAGGTATTTCTTTATAGAAATGTGAGAACAGCCTAATACACTGATTATAAAATTAATTCCTTCATCTTGACTTTAGATGATTTGATATCAATCAGCCATTTTAAAACCCTTTATGTAATACATTTTCTTGGAGATCATTGGGCCTCTTATGTCTGGATATTTATATGTCTTGCTAAACTTGGAAAGTTTTCATCAAATATTCTCTTAAATATGTTTTCTAAATTTTAGATTTTTCTTTCCCATCAGGAATACCAATAATTTATAAGTTCAATTACCTTATGTAGTCTTATATGTCTCAAATGTCTTGTTCATTATCTTTTATTCTTTTTTCTTCATTTTTGTCTGACAGTATTATTTCAAAAGACCTGCCTTCAACATCTGAGATTCTTCCTTCTTCTTGGCCTACTCTATTTTTTAAAGATTTGTGTATATATTGCAATTCCTTCAGTTAATTTTTTATTTCTATGTTATATTTGTCTTTTTTAAAGATATCTGTCTCCTTAGTAAATTTCTTGTTCATATCCTGAATTGATTTTCTGTTGTATTTGTATTGGAATCACATTTCTTGTATTTCATTGAGTTTCTTTAAAATAAATATTTTGAATTTTACATCTAGCATATCAAAAATTGTTATTTTTTTTGTTTGGAATCTATTCCTGGAGAACTGTGTTTCTTTGGCAGTGTTGTAATACCTTGCTTTTTAATACTTTCTGTATATTTATGTTAATTTATGTGCATCTAAATTAACAGTCACTTCTTATTTTGCAACTTAATTTTGTTGGAGTAAATTTTTTTCTTGAAGATATGACTATGCTGTATGTTGGGTAGGGCAATTTGATTTTGCTTCTGGGTGCGTGCATTGGCATAGACTCTGCAGGATTTTATTAATTATAAATAGCATTTGTTTGGTGGCTTTCTCAAATGCCAGTTTTAGTAGCAGTGTACCATGTGGATGAGCTTGCTGATGACCTTCTTCGTAGCCACTGTGGTGTGGGTGATGGGGATAGCAGTGGTCATGAGAATCTTTTCTTGTTCAAAGGGCCTTGCTCTGGTGTTGGCGGTTGTTCTAATGGGTTGCATAAGACAACCCCCAGGCTAGTAGGTGGTACTCTCAAGTAAGAATCAGCTGTAGTGGTGGCAGTAGAACTTACGCTTGACCTCTGTTCCCCAGGAAAAATGCTATGCTTTCCAGGTGATGGATTGGGCTGCGGACTCCCCAGAAGCTTGGATCATACACTCTGTTTCACAGAGATAGGTGAAGCTTTGTGGGGCTGGACTGGGCAAGCGAACAATCAGGTACCCCTATAGAAGATGTGAACTCCAGCCTTGACAAGAGTGGCAGAAGATTTTTCAAGCCCCTGGCAAAAT
This sequence comes from Homo sapiens, assembly GCF_000001405.40. Taxonomy (NCBI): domain Eukaryota; kingdom Metazoa; phylum Chordata; class Mammalia; order Primates; family Hominidae; genus Homo; species Homo sapiens. The sequence goes on from NC_000023.11 coordinate 90,860,365, forward strand.
ATTTGTGTGAGGCTTTATTGCTACTGCACTGAAGTCTCAGCGCCACAGGCTTGGTAGGCAGTATAACCTGCTTACCTCTCATGCCTTTGTCCTGGCAGGGCTCGCTTTCCTGTCCTGACTGTGGCCACATTTAAGATAATCCATTAACTGCTGAAGTTTACTTCTAGTCTGAAAGGTAACCCAGTGTCATAGAAGTCACTAGCCTTGTTGCTCAGTACTAAACTTCTGCAGTAGCTGGCAGTGGCTGCACTGCAGTCTTCACCCACAGCTTCAAACACACAGCTTTCAGGTTCTCCTGCTTTCTATGGTAACAAAACCGTAGCTCTGTACAGAGAGTGGGACAGACCCCAACCTATACATGGGCCTAAGCTCCAAAGACATGCAACCAGTGAAATCACAGTTGCCACTCATAGTCCCAGACAGGCAGCACTTCAGCTCACCCCCTTCAGCCTCCAACTACAGCAGCAACAGCAGCTATGCCTGCAACTATATGCAGTGGGGGAGAAAGGGTTTCATTATCTATACATAATTCTAAGCAAAAAGGTTGCTTGGAAGGTAGGAGGAGATTTTGCATGTCCCTTGAAAGGCCAAGCACAGAGTTTGTGCCAGTGCTGGGGGTGGAGTCATTTCTTAAAATGCCAAACAGAGAGCTTTCAGGCTCTGGAACGCATGCATTCCAGTTTTCTCTGGGCCAGGGACTGCATTTTTGGTGTGCTGCACTGCCCTTTCCCCAGGGAGGAAAACTGTCTCTAGGCTAGATTACTGGGGACCCTGAAGCACCTTTCGGTTCAGCCAGTGCAGTGTCACTGCAGCTCTCTAGGTGGACATTGGGGAATGTCAGCAGTAGCTTTTAGAATGTAGAGATGGGGTGCTGTAGTTCCCAGGGCAGGATGCAGTCCCATGACAGCTACACTTCACAACGGTGCCCTGCCACAGCCTCTCAGGTCCGAGGGGAGGGGTGAGTGATTTAGCATGAGTTCCCAGTCTGGAGCAATGCTCTCAAGAGGTCTCCAAATTACCACTCATACTAATGCCAAGGTTTGTGGCAGTAGAGGAACTCTCCTGTGGTTTGGATCCCAACAGTCTATGGCAAGAATGTGAACATCAAAACTCTCCCACTCACCCTCTCCCCAGAACACCAAGCCTCTACAGGCGCCTGACCAATTCTCAGACAAGTTGGCTTCTTGTTTCCTCCTAATTCTGTGCCTTAGGCATTTCCCCTGAGTTCTCTGTTGGACTCTAATATTTTCTTCTTTAATAGTCTATTCAAAGTGTGATTATCTGTTCATAATTTTGGTTCTTTTTTCTGGAAAAAACAGGCATCTGATGTCTTCAGTCAGCCATGTTGAACTGGAACCTCCCAACATATAATATTTTAAACTATTATTCTACAGATGTACATTAATTTTTTGCAACATTTCACTATTAAAAATATAATACTACAATAAAGAGATTTGTGTTTAGTGTACATATATGACTATTTCTTTATAACAAAGAGATTCTTATAATAATATTAAAGAGATTTGTGTTTAGTGCACATATATGACTATTTCTTTATAACAAAGAGATTCTTATAATAATATTTAGTTGTAATGTACGCATATTTAAAATTTTGATATTTTTTAACCAAATTCCCCAACAATGTCCCTACTTATTTATACTACCACTCTTGACGCACATGTGTAAATATTTTATTGCCGTACTAATCACCACTGCTTTTTGCTAATTTTCCCAAGATTGACAATTTAAGAAGAGGACCTGTTTGCACATGAGTGCATGTGTTTGTGGTGGGAAGAAGTGACAGTGTAAAAATCAATTGCTTTGAATCTGTCTAGTAGGAATATCTGCTTGGCAAGACTTAGTAGAAACTGGAGGTAGAGCTTTGGGAGTATTTGAAACATTAAAAGGAGATGACTTCACAGAAATTCCATGCCCAATGGGTTATGGTTTTATGTAATTCCAATGTATCACTATATGTATATCATTTAATATGAGGATATATTTCTTAATGGAGACGAGATTGCTAAATTATTTTATCAATTTGGCTTTGCCTGAAAACAGAACTTGAGACAACGGTTTGAGGCAGATGGTTTTGGGGAAAGGTAGTTCCAGGAAGCCAAAGTGAGAAGGCAGGAGGGTGAGAAAGAAAAAAAGTGAAAGCTGATATATAGCAGCATGTTAAGAGTTGCTTACCACTGTGGAAAAGCGGAACATAATCCTGTTGGAAACCCAGTGAGGAATAAAGGAAAATGCAACTCATAATTGTCCCCCCATACTCTCATCTTCAATTGGTTTGAGGGTTTACTCTCTAAAATGTTAATACCCTCCCCTCCACCTCATCCCACACGCACACACTTCTGGCCTATATTTGCTGGCACATTGAGTGAGATTTCTGCCTTTAGGAAAAGTCTGGAGACAGAAATTCAGAAAGAATGGATTAGAGGTAAACTTTGGAAATGTGTCTGCTGTAGTTTTTATTCAATTTCTTTACTGTATTTTCTCACTAAGAGGAAAAAGACGACCTCCTAAGTCTTGTTCTCTAATAATAACCTTCATTTGCAAAATTTGAGGTTACTCAGTAAAAAATTTCTAAATTCTATTATGCTCTGAGATTTATAGAATGTCCATTCAAGACTATAGAGTAAGTTGAACTGATAATAATAAATAACAAACAATAAGACTAATGAAATATTTATCTCATTTTAGGATGTCAAATACCTATGATAATGCATTATCCTTAATTGTTAATCTTCATTAGAGAAGTTTTTAAAATAGTAGCCACATTAGAGATTATTCAAATAAATTTTGTATAAGTGCTACATCCCTGCCAATTATAAAACATGAGGTAAAACAACAAGGAAAAGAGAGCTGAAAAGTTTAACAAGTGTATTCAAAATATTAAGGTGCCACTAATGCTGCCTTATGTGTTGCTAATTGTCTATAGCTTGGGGTATGAAGTGGCAGTGTTATAAAGTGGTTTACTCTTTAGTAAGTATTATTTTACCCCTGTTGTGGGAAGATATTAATTCAGTAAGTCTCTTATGAGGTTTAGAAATAGCATAAGCTTAACTGGGTTATGTCCATACTTTGTAAATTACTTTTTCCTGCTGCAGAGTTTCCTGAATATATATTTGTCCTCAGTATTTCTGTCTTATGTCATATGACTAATACTCTCTACAGAGACTGCTTCTTTTCTGAACAAATGTTTAATTTATAACATATCTCTGAGAAAAGCTACTCATCTTTGTATTTAATTTTCCTCATATCAGTTAGAATCTGAGGCACATTATGTTATTTCCACAGGCTGTATATGCCAAGCGGGATGAAAAGAAACAGCAAAACATTAAGAGGTCTCATATCTCCCTTAGAAATTTTTTGTTCCAATACAGTCTATAAAGTGATGGTAGAAGCAGTTGTTACATATTGTTATTATAATTTCAAAAAGTTGAGCAACAGTTACATCCAAGTCTGAAATTCCACGGTAAGTCTCAAGAACCCTTCTCTTTTTTCTCAAATCACTAACATTTCTCTCTTCTCTCACATAAATAATTTCTGCAACCATTTTTTTTTACAAAGTCTCACTAGACAGATATGAGTAAAGAAGCAATTGTTTTCTAAATTCCATACCAAACTCCCTGTAAATAGAAGTTACACTATCCTACCTTCTCAATGCACTAGTAAAACATGTATTATATGCAAACAATTACATTATTGATAGCCATTCTGTTTCTACCAAGCTGAACAAATAATTCTTGATTCTAACAAATGTAATTTCAAGTATACATATCTCAATCATTTTTAATATTCTAATGGATATTAGAATATTCCATTTTAATATTGAGGATGACAGATCCCAATTCATTTCTCAAGTGGATTGATTTGCCATCTTAAGGGTGAAAGTAGTATTTCTTACTTAATATAGAGGGAGAAAAATTTTATCTATTTTCCTAAAAAGTATATTTCCAAATTGCTTCCTTGGAGCTAGAATCCTCTGTGGTTTCTGGCACCAAAAATTTCTAACAATACTCTAAAAAAAACATAGGAAACAGACATGGTTATGGAAAAAATAGCTACTGTAAGGTGAAGAGTCTAACACAGTCCCTAACTCATTTTTTCCAGCTACATAAACTCTTCTTTGCAATAGTTTTACAATTGCACTCAGAAGCAGTTGGATATTTATTTAACTGCACCACAATGGCAGGTTTCAGGGAGTACTGTGACTAAAACTTTGAATATGTATAAATATATTTTTGCAGTGGAGAGAATAATTAAGAAAAATTGGGGGCCTGGCCAAGATGGCAGACTAGAAACAGCTGCAATCGGAGACTCCCACCTAGAACAAAGTGTGCAAATTCTGAACTGGCAACAGAGGTATCCAGGTTTTCTCATCAAGACTAACTAGGTATTTGACATGACCCACGGAGAACAAGAAAAAGCAGGGTGGTGCAGTGGCCCACCTGGGAGCCACACAGGGCAAGGTGAGCCCCAAACCTCAGCCAAAGGAGGTGGTGAGTGATTGTGCTATCCAGCCTGGAAAACCATGTTTTTTTCATGAATCTGTGCAACCCATGAATCAGGAGATCCCAATCATGAGTCCATGCCACCAAGGCCTTGAGTCACAACAGACCTGTGCAGATTCTTAACGGCCACTTGGCTGGAGACCGCTTAAGACTACCAAGTTGCTGGGGAGAGGGGTGGCCATTATCACGGCAGCTGACTGCTGCCTAAGACAACTGAGCTCCCCAGGGGAAGGATGGCCATCCTCAAAGCAGCTGCCTGCTGCCTAAGGTGACTGAGCTCCCCAGGGGAGGGGTGGCAGCCATACTGCATACTGCCTAAGATGACTGAACTCCTGGGAGGAGGAGTGGTAGCCATCACTGCAGCTCCAGGCTGCCATTTTTTTCCCTGATGGTGCGAAGGAGACTGGACTTTTTGGATACAGGATGGATTCCCCATAGTGCCTGACACTGGCTGTGGCAGGTTGTGGCCAGACTGCCTCTTTAGGACAGACACCAACCTATCCCTCCTCACTGAGTGGGGCCTCCCTGAAGGAACTTCAACAACTCCAGCCAGGGGTTTAGGGACAGAACTTTGATAACCCTGGGCCTGAGCCCCTAGGGGTAGTCATGGCTATGGTCTCCATGGACAAGCACACTTAGTCCTCCCCATTGCTGGCTCTGCTCTGAGGAATCTGGGCAGCCCAGACGAGTTGGGTTTCCCCCAGCATGGCACACCCCCTCCACCAAGGGGCAGCCAGTGTGCTTCATTAAGCAAGTCCTGGATCCTGAGGCCCCTGACTGGTTGAGACACCCCAACAGGCATCACCAGAAACCTTATACAGGAGCGTTCCTTCTGGCATTAGCTCTGTGCCCCTCAGGGACAGAGGATCCAGAGGAAGGAGCAAGCACCAATCTTTGCTGCTCTGCAGCCTCCTTGGGTGACATCTCTAGGTGCAGGGGGGAGCCAGGTGAATAGGGCCTAAAGTGAACCCCCAGAAAACTGCAGCAGCCCAGCAGAAGAGGGGCCTGATTGTTAAAAAACAAACAAACAGCAAGCAACAGCAACAGCATCAGTAATAAAGTCCTCACAATAACCCCATCCAAAGGTCAGTAACATTAAAGAACAAAACTAGACAAACTAATTAAGATGAGAAGGAATCAATAAAAAGATGTTGAAACCTCAAAAGGCCAGAGGGCCCCTCCTCCTACAAATGATCACACCTCCTCTCCAGCAAGGGCACAGAACTGGGTGGAGGTTGAGATGAATTGACAGAAGTAGGCTTCAGAAGGTGGGTAATAACAAACTTTACTGAGCTAAAGGAGCATATTCAAACCCAATGCAAAGCATCTAAGAGCCTTGATAAGAGGTATAGGAGCTGCTAACTAGAATAACCAGTTTAGAGAGAAACATAAATGACCTGATGGAGCTGAAAAACACAGCATGGGAACTTTGTGATGCACCCACACAAATATCAATAGCCAAATTAATCAAGTGGAAGAAAGAATATCAGAGCTTGAAGACAAACTTGCTGAAATAAAGCAGGCAGACAAGATTAGAGAAAAAAGAAAAAAAAAGTATTGAATTAAACCTCCAAGTACTATGGAACTATGTTAAAAGACCAAATCTACAACTGATTGGAGTACCTGAAAGAGATGGAGAGAATGGAACCATGTTGGAAAACACACTTCAGGACATCATCCAGGAGAACTTCCACAACCTAGCATAACAGGCCAACATTTAAATTCAGGAAATCCAGAGAACTCCAATAAGATACTCCTTGAGAAGGTCACCACAAGACACAAAATCATCAGGTTCTCAAGGTTGAAATGAAGAAAAAAAATGTGAGGGACAGCCAGAGAGAAAGTCCAGGTCACCTAAAAGGAAAGCCCATCAGACTAACAGCAGACCTCTCAGCAGATACCCTACAAGCCAGAAAAGAGTGGGGGCCAATATTCAACATTCTTAAACAAAAGAATTTCCAACTTAGAATTTCATGTCTGACCAAACTAAGCTTCATAACTGAAGGAAAATAAAATTCTCTTAAGACAATCAAATGCTGAGGGAATTCACCACCATGAGGCCAGCCTTGCAAGAGCTTATGAAGGAAGCACTAAATAAGAAAAGACGAACTGGTAGCAGCCACTGCAAAAACACACTGAAGTACAAAGACCAATGACACTATGAAGAAACTGCATCAACTAGTCTGCAAAATGACCTCGTAGCATCATGATGATGGGATCAAATTCACACATAACAATATTAACATCAAATGTATATGGGCTAAATGCTCCAATTTAAAGACACAGAATGGCAAACTGTAAAAGAGTCAAGACCCATTGGTGTGCTGTATTCAAGAGACTCATCTCATGTTGAAAGACACACATATGCTCAAAATAAAGGGATGGAGAAAATTTACCAAGCAAATAGTAGAAAAAAATCAGGGGTTGCAATCCTAGTTGCTGACAAAATAGACCTTAAACCAGCAAAGATCAAAAAAGACAAAGAAGGGCAAGACATAATAGTAAAGGAATTAATTCAACTAGAAGAACTAACAATACTAAATATATATGCACCCAATACAGGAGCACCCAGATGTGTAAAACAAGTTCTTAGAGACATAAAAAAGACAGACTCCTTCACAATAACAGTGGAGACTTTAACACTCCACTGTCAATATTAGACATATCATCAAGACAAGAAACTAACCAGGATATTTGGGACTTGAACTCAGCTCTGGATCACCTAAACCTGATAGATATCTAAAGAACTCTCCACCCCAAAGCAGCAGAATATACATTCTTCTCAGTGCCACATGGCACTTACTCTAAAATTGATCACATAGTTGGAAGTAAAACATTCCTCAGCAAATGCAGAAGTACTTAAATAACAGCAAGCAGTATCTCAAACCACAGTTCAACCAAATTAGAACTTAATTCACTCAAAAGCACATAAATTCACCCAAAAGCACACAACAATATGGCAATTGAACAACTGATCTTGAAAGACCCCTAGGTAAATAATGAAATTAAGACAAAAATAAAGAAGTTCTTTGAAACCAATGAGAACAAAGAGACAATGTACCAGAATCTCTGGGATGCAGCTAAAGCAATATTAAGAGAGAAATTAATAGCACTGAATGAACCCATCAGAATGCTAGAAATATCTCAAATTGACACCCTAACATTATACCTGAAAGAACTAGCAAACCAAGAGCAAACAAACCAAAAGCTAGCAGGAGACAAGAAATAACTAAGATTAGGGCATAACAGAAGGAGATAGAGACTAGAAAATCCCTTTATAAAATAAATGAATCCAGGAGTTATTTTTTTAAAATTAATAAAATAGACTGCTAGCTAGACTCATAAAGAAGAAAAGAGAGAATAATGAAATAGACACAATAAAAATGAAAAAGAGAATATCAACACTGACCCCATAGACATACAAACAACCATCAGAGAATACTATAAACACCTCTAAACAAATAAACTAGAAAATCTACCAAAAAATGGATAAATTTCTGGACACATACACCCTCCCAAGACTAAACCAGGAAGAAATCAAATCCCTGAATAGATTAATAACATTTTCTGAAATCAAGGCAGTGATAAATAGACTACCACCAGAAAAAGCCCAGGACCAGGTGGATTTACCACCAAAATGTACCAGAGGTACAAAGAGGATCTGGTACTGTTATAGGAAATATAAAGAAATTATTTAGGTATACCGTTAGATTAAAGACAGTACCCAGCAGAAAATTTTCCTTCTAACAAAAAGCAGATCAGAAATTGATCCCTTTCTAACCACACACAGTTCAAAGACTAACAAAGAGCATTCTGGAAGATCAAGCTGTAAAACAAAGATAAGCAACTCAGGCACACAGGAGGAGCTGCCTAGGTAATTACCAAAGTTCACATACATATGATGGGCTCCAGTAAAAACAGTGGGCCTTAACAAGCACATTCCTTTCCCTTTCTTTAGGCACACTAAGATAGAGAAGCTGGAAGGTTACAAGGTGGGGGAAGTAGTGGGGGATGCCTGCAGCTGCAAGAAGTTTCCTGGAAACAGGCACAGAAACTGCCCCCTTTCCTTTCAGCACATGCAGATAAGCAGCTCAAACTAAGGACCTGCCTGCATGATCAAAGAATAGGGTGGGGGCTGCTAGAAACACTGCTCTATGCAGATGGCCCACCTGTTCCTAATGGGTTCTTCAGTCCCTATAAAGATAAGATGCCCCTACCTCACTATTTATTTATACAAATCCTGATATTTTTACTACAACCTGCAAACTTGTCCAGGACCTCTGTCTGTGACAGAGTTGTTCTTTCTTTTTGCCCATTAAACTCCTGCTCCACTCTCACTCTGTGTGCTGGATCCATGTCCATGATTTCCTCAGCTGTGAGAGCAAGAACCTTGGTACTTACCCAAAACAACAAGGCTGTTTTAGTACCATTCCTTCTGAAACTATTCTAAACAATTGAAAAGAATGGACTTCTCTGAAACTCATTTTATGAGGCCAGCATCATCCTGATAACAAAGCCTGGCAGAGATATAACAAATAAAGAGAACTTTAGGCCAATATCCCTGATGAACATTTGACATGGTTTGGCTGTGTCCCCACCCAAATCTCATCTTGAATTTTCATGTGTTGTGGTAGGGACCCAGTGGGGGGTAATTGAATCATGGGGGTAGGTCTTTCCTGTGTAGTTCTTGTGATAATGAATAAGTCACAAGGGATCTGATGGTTTTATAAAAGGGGGTTTCCTTGCACAAGCTTTCTCTCTTTGCCTGCTGCCATCCATGTAAGACATGACTTGCTCCTCCTTGCCTTCTGCCATAATTTTGAGGCCTCCCTGGCCACGTGGAACTCTAAGTCCATTAAACCTCTTTCTTTTGTAAATTGCCCAGTCTCAAGTATGTCCTTAACAACAGTGTGAAAATGAACTAATACAGTGAATTGGTACCAGTAGTGTGGGGCACTACTGTAAAGATACCCAAAAATGTGGAAGCAACTTTGAAACTGGGTAACAGGCAGAGGCTGAAATAGTTTGGAGAACTCATAAGAAGACAGGAAAATGTGAAAAAGTTTGAAACTTCCTAGAGACTTGTTGAATGGCTTTGACCACAATGTTGATAATGATATGGACAATGAAATCCAGGCTGAGGTGGTCTCAGATGAAGATGAGAAACTTGTTGGGAACTGGAGTAAAGGTGACCCTTGCTGTTTTAGCAAAGAGACTGGGAGTATTTTGTCCCTGCCCCAGAGATTTGTGCAACTTTGAACTTGAGGGAGATGATTTTGGGTATCTGGCAGAAAAACAAAGTATTCAAGAGGTGACTTGGGTGCTGGTAAAGACATTCAGTTTTAAAAGGAAGACAGAGCATAAAAGTTCAAAAAATTTGCAACCTGATGATGTGATGGAAAAGAAAAACCCATTTTATGAGGATAAATTCAAGCCGGCTACAGAAACTTCCATAAGTAAGGAGAAGCCAAATGTTAATTTCCATGACAATGGGGAAAATGTCTCCAGGGCATGTCAGAGACCTTCACGGCAGCCCCTCCCATCATGGGTCCAGAAGCCTAGGATGAAAAAATGGTTTCATGGGATGGAGCCAGGACCCCCCTGCTGTGCAGCCTGGGGACTTGGTGCCCTGCATTCCAGACCCTCTGTGCAGCCTAGGGACTTGGTGCCCTGCATCCCAGCCACTCTAGCCATGGAGAAAAGGGTACAAACTCCAAGCCTTTGCAGCTTCCATGTGGTGTTGATCCTGAGGGTGCACAGAAGTCAAGATTGAGGCTTTGGAACCTCCACCTGGATTTCAGAGGATGTATGGAAATGCCTGGATGTCCAGGCAGAAGTTTGCTGCAGGGGTGAGGCCCTCATGGAGAACCTCTGTGGAAGGGAAATGTGGGGTTGAAGCCCCCACACAGTGTTACCACTGGTTGCCTGCCTAGTGGAGCTGTGAGAAGAGGACCACCATTCTCCAGACCCCAGAATGGTAAATCCCCTGACAGCTTGCACTGTGTGCCTGGAAAAGCCATAGACACTCAACACCAGCCCATGAAAGCAGTCATGAGGGGAGTTTTACCCTGCAAAGCCACAGGGTGATGCTGCCCAAGACCATGGAAACCCACCTCTTGCATCAGTGTGACCTGGACGTGAGACTTGGAGTCAAAGGAGATCATTTTTGAGCTTTGAAGTTTGACTGCCTTGCTGGATTTTTGGACACTCTAGATCCTTTAGCCCGTTTATTTTGGCCAATTTCTCCCATTTGGAATGGCTGTATTTACCCAATACCTATACTCCCATTGTATCTAGGAAGTAACTAACTTACTTTTCATTTTACAGGCTCATAGGCAGAAAAGACTTGCCTTGTCTCAGATGAGACTTTGGACTGAGGGCCTTTAAGTTAATGTTGAAATGAATTAAGACTTTGGGGGACTGTTGGGAAGGCATGATTGTTTGAAATGAAAGGACATGAGATTTGGGAGGGGCAGGAGTGGAAGGATATGGTTTGGCTGTGTTCCCACCCAAATCTTATCTTGAATTCCCATGTATTGTGGGAGGGACCCCGTAGGAGGTAATTGAATGAGGAGGGCATGTCTTTCCCATGTTCTTCTCATGATAGTGAATAAGTCCTATGAGATTTGATAGTTTTATAATGGGGAGTTTCCCAAGAGGAGCTCTCCCTCTTTGCCTGCTGCCATCCATGTAAACTGTGACTTGCTCCTCCTTGCCTTCTGCCATGATTGTGAGGCCTCACCAGTCATGTGGAACTGTAAGGCTGTTAAACATTTTTCTTTTGTAAATTTCCCAGTGTCAGGTACGTCTTTATCAGCAGCAAGAAAATAGACTAATACAACATTGATGTGAAAATCCTCAATAAAATACTTGCAAACTGAATCCAGCAGCACATCAAAAAGCTTATCCACCATGATCAAGTTAGCTTCATCCCGGGGATGCAAGGCTACTTCAACATACACAAATCAATAAATGTGATTTATCACATAAACAGAACTAAAGACAAAAACCACATGATTATCTCAATAGATGCAGAAAAAGCCTTTGATAAAATTCAACATCACCACATGTTAAAAGCTCTCAGTAAACTAAGTATTGATGGAACATATTTCAAAATAATAAGAGCCATTTATAACAAACCCACAGCCAATATCATGCTGAATGGGCAAAAGCTGGAAGCATTCCCCCTTGAAAACTGGCACAAGACAAGAATGCCCTCTCTCACCACTCCTATTCAACATAGTATTTCAAGTTCTGGCCAGGGCAGTCAGGCAAGAGAAAGACATAAAGGATATTCAAATAGGAAGAGAGGAAGTCAAACTGTCTCTGTTTGCAGATGACATGATCCTATATCTAGAAAACCCCATCATCTCAGCTCAAAAGCTCCTTAAGCTGATAAGCAACTTCAGCAAAGTCTCAGGATATAAAATTAATGTGCAAAAATCACATGCATTTCTATACATAAACAATAGACAAGCAGAGAGCCAAATCAAAAATGAACTTGCATTTGCAATTGCTACAAAGAGAATAAAGTACTTAGGAATATTGCTAACAAAGGAAGTGTAAGACCTTTTCAAAGAGGACTACAAACCACTGCTCAAGGAAATAAGAGAGGACACAAACAAATGGAAAAACATTCCATGCTCATGGATAGGAAGAATGAATATCATAAAAATGGCCATACTTTCCAAAGTAATTTGTAGATTCAATGCTATTTCCATTAAACTATCATTGACTTTCTTCACAGAATTAGAAAAACTACTTTAAAGTTCATATGGAATCAAAAACAAGCCCATATAGCCAAGACAATCCTAAACAATAACAACAAAGGTGGAGGCATCATGCTACCTGACTTCAAACTATACTACAAGCCTACAGTAACCAAAACAGCATGGTACTGGGACAAAAACAGACACATAGACCAATGCAACAGAATAGAGAACTTATAAATAAGACCACACATCTACAACCATCTGATCTTTGACAAACCTGACAAAAACAGGCAATGGGAAAATGACTCTCTATTTAATAAATGATGCTAAGAAAACTGGCTATCCATATGCAGAAAATTGAAACTGGACCCCTTCCTTACATCTTATACAAAAATTAAATCAAGATGGATTAAAGATTTAAATGTAAAACCCCAAACCATAAAAACCCTAGAAGAAAATCTAGGCAATACTATTCAGGACATAGGCATGGGCAAATAGTTCATGGAAAAAAAAATCACATGCAATTGCAACAAATTCAAAAATTGAGAAATGGGATCTAATTAAACTAAAGATTTTTGGACAGCAAAATAAACTATCATCACAATGAACACACAGTCTATGGAATGGGAGAAAAATTTGCAATCTATCCATCTGACAAATGTCTTATATCCAAAATCTACAAGGAAGTTAAACAAATGTACAAGTAAGAATCAAACAACCCCATTAAAAAGTGGGCAAAGAACATGAACAGACACTTCTCAAAAGAAGACACTTATCTAGCCAACAAATATATGAAAAAAAGCTCAACATCACTGATCATTAGAGAATGCAAATCAAAACAACAATGAGATGCCATCTCATGTCAGTCAGAATGGTGATTATTAAAAAGTCAAGGAACAACATATGCTGGTGAGGCTATGAAAAAATAGGGATGCTTTTACACCATTGATGGGACTGTAAATTAGTTCAACCATTGTGGAAGACAGTGTGGTAATTCATCACAGCCTAGAACCAGAAATACCATTTAACCCAGCAGTCGCATTACTGGATATATTCCTAAAAGAATATAAATTATTCCATTATAAAGATACATGCACACATCTGTTAATTGCAGCACTGTTCACAATAGCAAAGACATGGAATCAACCCAAATGCACATCAATGATAGACTGGATAAAGAAAACATGGTACATATACATCATGGAATACTATGCAGCCATAAAAAAAATGAGACCATGTCCTTTGCAGTAACATGGATGGAGCTGGAAGCCATTAGTCTCAGCAAAATAACATAGAAAGAGAAAACCAAACACCCCATGTTCTCACTTATTAGTGGGAGCTGAACAATGAGAACACATGGACACAAAGAGTGGAACAATTACACACTGGGTCCTGTCGGGAGGGCTGGGGAAAAGAGAGCATCAGAATAAATAGCTAATGCATGCAGGGCTTAATACCTAGGTGATGGGTTGACAGGTACAGCAAACCACCATGGCACAGGTTTACCTGTGCAAAAAACCTGCATGTCTTGCACATGTATCCTGGAACTTAAAATAAAATATAATTTTTTAAAAAAAGGAAAATTCAGAAATTGTTTTGATAGAGACTTTTGTGGCTTAACAACAGATGTATGTATTCAGTTGATAGTTTAAAATACTATATCCTGTTTTCCTTGATTTGTGAATTAAACTGTGAAAGTAAATTTTTAATGACAATATACATATTATTTGATTTCTCTTTAAACTTAGTCAAATTGTGGATAATATTAATATCTTAAAGTGATATTGACAGAACAAGCTGACTAACCACATATTATTAATAATATTTTAAAACTAAATTTACATAGTATGTTTTATATCAAGTGATTATTGAATAGATTATTTAAAGTGTTTAGAATTTTTAAATAGCCAGTGAAAATAATTTGAAATAATAGATTATAAACACACACAGTGCATTACTTTATGAAAAGCAAGTTACAGACTGAAATAGCTGATTTGGCTTTTTCAGCAGCTTTTTCAAATAAAATATAATTATACCATGATTGATATTCATTTATAAAAAGGATGATAATATTATCACACATTTCTACTTTACTGACATACATCTGTTTTATTATAAATGGGTAATGGTTGTTGTTCAATGCTTTTCTGCATGTTTAGAGAAGAATATATGGTATTCCTTTTTTATTATTTAAACGTGGTAAATTAAATTGATTGACATTTGAATGTTAACCTGGAATTTCTCATATAAACCCCACTTTTTCATGCTGCATTATCACGTTAACTTTGCTTGTTTAAATTTGATAATATTTTGTTAAAAATTGCATCAATACTAATGAACAACAGTTGTATACAGTTTTTGCTGTTGTTTTTGTTTAGAATATATATGTCTGGTTTTGATATCTGGATAATGCTGGCCTTATAAAAATAATTGGAAAATGTTTCCCCCTCTATTTTCCAAAATAGTTTTCTTAGCATTTATATTATTTTTTTCTTAAATATTTCATAGAATTGAACAGTGAAATAGGTTGGGCTTCAAGTTTAATTTGTAAGAATGTTTTAAATAATTCATTTTAATAGCTATAAGTCTATTAAGAAATTTGATTACTTCTTCAGTGTATTTTGGCATTCTGTGTCTTTCAAAAAATTCTCCATATCATCTGAGTGGTAAAATTTAGTGGTTTAAATTATTTTTATTTGTGTTTTTTTAATGTCTGTAGAATCTGTATGTTTATTCTTTCACTTGTGATGTTAATTATGTGTGTTTCTCCCATTTTTCTCTTAATCAGCAAAGGTAGACTGTATCAATTTTTACTGCTTATTTATTTATTTATTTAATTTATTTATTTTGAGATGGCGTTTCACTCTTGTTTCCCAGGCTGGAGTGCAATGGCACGATCTCTGCTCACTGCAACCTCTGACTCCTGGGTTCAAGCGATTCTCTTGCCTCAGCCTCCCGATTAGCTGAGATTACAGCGACACGCCACCACGCCAGCTAATTTTTGTATTTTTAGTAGAGATAGGGTTTCGCCATGTTGGCCAGGCTGGTCTCGAACTCCTGACCTCAGGTGATCCTCCTGCCTTGGCCTCCCAACGTGATGGGATTACAGGTGTGAGCCACCGCGCTTGGCTGCTTTTTTTAAAACAAAGCCATCTTTTGGTTTCACATTTGCTTTATTTTATTTTTCAATTTTTCATTTTATGCTCTTATATATTATTTCCTTACTAACAGTGGATCTCTCAGCAGAAACTCTACTTCTGCTTATTTTGGATTTAATGTGATAATTTTTAGGTTTTTTTGGGGTGGAAACAGATTACTTAAGATTTTTTAAAATTTCTAATACAGCATTGAATGCCACTATTTTCCCTATAATCATTGCTGTAGCAGCATTTCCATACATATTTTTATGTTATGTTTTTATTTCCATTTAATTTGAGATTTTTTATAATTTTACGTATAATTTCCTCTTTGATCCATGGAATTAAAAAATTATTATTTAATTTCCTATTATTTGGCATTTTTATCAGATAGTTTCTATTGTTTCCAATTTGACTGCATTGTAGTAAAAGAATCTGTATGATTTCAATCCTTTAACATACACTGGACTTTGTTTAATATCCAGTATATAATCTATTTTCGTGAATATTTCCTATGAAAGTTAAAAGGATACGCACTGTACTTTGTTGTTGTTGGATGGAGTGTCCTATAAATGTCAATTAGTCTTTCATGGTTGATAATGTTGTTCAGGTGTTTTGTATTCTTACTGATCTTTCTGTATACTTGTTCCTATCCAGTACCCAAAGAATAGCATTTGAATTTTCAATATTACAGTGATTTTGTCCCTTTCTCCTTTTAGTTTTAATCAGGCTTTATATTAGTAATTTTGAAACTGTATATTGTGCAGACACATTAGGATTTTCATGACTTCTTGATTGGTTGACTTTTTCATTATATGAAATGACCCTGGTTGACTTTTTCATTATATGAAATGACCCTGTTTACTACTGGAGTTATTTCTTATTCTGAGGTCTAAACATTTCATTTTTATATCAACATTACAGCTTTCTTATGCTTAGGGTTTGTCTTATATATCATTTTCTATGTTTTTTGGTTTTAAGCAAATCTATTACTGGTTAGAGTCAATTCCTTGTAAACAATATATAGTCAAGTGTTACTTTTTAAAACAGTCTGTTAATCCTGACTTTTCATAGATGTGTTTATAGAGTTTACATTTAATATACTTACTGACTTGTATAGATTGAAATTAATCATTTAGTTATTTGTGTTCTATTTATCCCATCTGTTCTTTCTGCATTTTTCTATTTTCCTGCCTTCCTTTGAATTAAGTAGTTTTCAGTATTTTAATTTAACCACCATTATTTGCCTCCTGCTTATTTTTAGTGACCAATCTTGCATTTATAATATAAATATAATAAATTAACATACAGATTTTACTTTATTCTTTATGTATAATATCTGACTGTTTAACACTTTATTTTCATTTGCCCTCTTCTGACTATTGTGTTATTATTGTCATAGAATTTATTACCACATATGCTATAAAATACACAATACATTGCTAATGTTTTGTGCTTTGAGTAATTTTATTTTAAAAATTGTTCAATGAGAAAATATATCTTTTGTATGGACCCACAAATTTATTTTTTTTCAACACCATTCATTTTTTAGAGCGGATAAAAGCTTCCATCTGGTGTCATTTTTATTCAGTCTAAAGAATGTCCTTTAAGAGTTTATGTAACTCGGGTCTGCTGTGGAGGAATTTACTTTAGGCCCAACGTAGTTTTACTTCTAAGGAACAACACTTGAGGATCTCTACTGAGAGACATCCTGTATTCAGAAGGTCTCCCCATGTTGCACTTTTTAAAATTATAAGTTTCATTTTAGGTTTAGGGATACATATGCAGTTTTGTTATATAGGTAAACTGCATGTCATTGGGGCTTGGTGTAGAGATTATTTTAACACCCAGGTAATAAGCATAGTACCCAATAGGTAATTTTTCTGATTCTCTCCCTCTTCCCACCTTCCACTTTCAAGTGGGCCCCAGTATGTGTTGTTCCCCTCTTTGTGTTCATGTGTTCTCATTGATTAGCTCCTACTTGAGAATGTGTGGTATTTGGTTTTCTGCTATTGTGTGAGTTTGCTTAGGATAATGGCCTTTAGCTTCATCCATGTTGCTGCAAAGAACATAATCTAATTCTTTTTCTGGCTGTGTAGTATCCAATGGTGCATATGGACCATATTTTTTTAATTTAGTTTACTGCAGATAGGTATTTAGGTTGATTCCATATCTTTGCTATTGTAAATATTGCTGCAATGAACATACATGTGCATATGTCTTTATGGTAGCACAATTTATATTATTTTAGGTATATACCCAAAATGGCATTGCTGGGTTGAACGGTGATTGTGTTTCAAGTCATCTGAGGAATTGTTATGCAGGTTTCCACAATGACTGTACTAATTTACAGTCCCACCAGCAGTGTAAAAGCATGCCACTTTCTTCACAACTTCATCAGCATCTGTTATATTTTAACTTTAAAAAAATAATTGCCATTCTGACTGGTGTTAGTATCTCTTTTTGCTTTTGATTTGCATTTATCTAATGACTAGTGATGTTGAGTATTTTTTTCATACGCTTGTTGGCCACACATATGTCTTCATTTGAAGTGTCTGATCATGTCTTTTGCCCACTTTTTATTTTTTATTTATTTATTATTATTATTATTATTTTTTTTTTTTTTGAGACAGAGTCTCGCTCTGTCGCCCAGGCTGGAGTGCAGTGGTGCGATCTCGGCTCACTGCAAGCTCTGCCTCCCAGGTTCACGACCTTCTCCTGTCTCAGCCTCCTGAGTAGCTGGGACTACAGGCACCCACCACCACACCCAGCTAATTTTTTGTATTTTTAGTAGAGACGGGGGTTTCACCGTGTTAGCCAGGATAGTCTCCATCTCCTGACCTCATGATCTGCCCATCTCGGCCTCCTAAAGTGCTGGGATTACAGGCGTGAGCCACGGCACCCGGCCGCCCACTTTTTAATGGGGTGATTTGTTTTTTGTTTTTGTTGTTGTTGTTGTTTTTTGGCTTATAAATTTGTATAAGTGTCTTATGGATTCTGGAATTTAGATGTTTTCTGGATGCATAATTTGAAAATATTTTTTCCCATTGCATAGGTTGTTTGTTTATGCTGTTGATAGTATCTTTTGCTGTGCAGAAGCTCTTTAATTGAGTTAAGTCCTCTTTGTCAATTTTTGCTTTTGTTCCAATTGCTTTTGGTAAATTCTTCATAATATCTTTATCAGTTCCTATGTCCAGAATGGTATTTCTTACGTTATCTTCCAGAGATTTTCATTTTAGGTTTTATGTTTAAGTATTTAATCGATCTTGAATTTATTCTTATATGTAATGTAAGACAGGGGTCATTTTAATCTTTTGCATATGGCTAGCCAGTTATCCCAGGACCATTTATTGTATAGGGAGTCCTTTCTCTATTGCTTGCTTTGATGAACGTTGTCAAAGATCAGATGATTGTAGGTGTGCAGCATTATTTCTAGGCTCTCTATTCTGCTCCATTTGTCTATGTGTATATTTTGGTACTAGTCTCTTTTGCTTATTGTAGCCTTCTAATATAGTTTGAAGTCAAGTAAGATAATGTCTCCAGCTTTGTTTGTTTGTTTGTTTGTTTTTGTTTTGTTTTTTGCTTAGGATTGCCTTGGCTATTCAGGCTTTTTTTTGTTCCATATAATTTTTAAAATGCATTTTTGCTAATTCTGTGCAGAACATCATTGGTGGTTTGATGGGAATAGCATTAAAACTATAATCGCTTTGGGCAATATTGTCATTTTAACAATATTGATTCTTTCCTCACATGAGACTGGAATGTGTTTTCATTTGTTTGTGCAATTTCTTATTTCTCAGAGCAGTGTTTTGTAGTTCTTTTTGTAGACATAATTTGCCTCCCTGGTTAGCTGTATTCCCAGGTATTTAGTTCTTTCTATGGCAATTTTGAATGAAATTACATTCCTGATCTGAGTCTCAGCGTATGTTGTTGGTGTTCACAAATGCTACTAATTTTTGTGCACTGATTTTATATCCTGAAACTTTGCTGAAGTTGTTTCTCACCTGATGGAGCTTTTGAACCAAGACTATGGGATTTTCTGGATATAGAGTGATGTCATCTTCAAATGAGGATAATCTGGCTTTTTATTTTCCTATTTGGGTGCCATTTGTTTCTTTATCTTTCCTGATTGCTCTGGAAGGGACTTTCAGTATTATGTTGAATAGGAGTGGTGATAGAAGCCATCCTTATCCTTTTTTTTGTTTTCAAGAGGAACGCTTCCAACTTTTTTCCATTCAATATAATGTTGTGTGTGGGTTTGTCATAGATGGCTTTTTATATTTTGAAGTATGTTCCTTTAATGCCAAATTTATTGAGAGTTTTTAATATAAATAGATCCTCAATGTTATTGAAAGACTTTTCATCTATTTAGGTGATCATGTGGTTTTTATTTTTAGTTCTGTTTATGTGATGAATCACATTTATTGATTTGTGTATGTTGAATCAACCTCACATCCCAGGTATAAAGCCTACTTTATCTTTGTGGACTTGTTTTTCTTGTGCTGCTGGATTCAATTTGCAGGTATTTTTTTGAGGATTTTTGTATCTTTGATCATAAAGGATATTGGCCTGACATTTTTGTTTGTTTGGTCTCTACCAGGTTTTAATATCAGAATGATGGTGGCCTCATAGAAAGAATTGGGGAGGAGTACCTGCTTGTAAACGTTTTATAATTTTAGTAGGAAATGTTATCAATTCTTTATATATTTGGTTGAATTTGGCTGTGAATCCATCTGGTCATGGGCTTTTTCTGGTTGGTAGGCTTTTTACCACTGATTCAATTTTGAAACTTGTTATTGTTCTGTTCAGAAATTAAATTTCTTTCTGGTTCAGTCTTGAGAATTTGTACGTGTCCAAGAATTAATTTATTTTTTCTAGGTTTTCTTGTTTGTGTGCATATGGATGTTTGTAGTAGTTTCTGAGGGTTCTTTGTAATTCTTAATGTCCTCTTTGGCATTTCAAATTGTATTTATTTGTAATATCTCTCTTTTTTATTTATTACTCTTGCTAGTGGTCTATTTTATTGATTTTTCAAAGAATAAACTCCTAATTCATTAATCTTTCATATGGTTTTTCATGTCTAAATTTCCTGCAGTTTGGCTCTGAAGTTGGTTATTTGTCATCTTCTTCTGGCTTTGGGGTTGATCTGCTGTTGATTCTTTTAGTCCTTTAGTTGTGATATTGTTACGGGAAGTCAGGGACCCCAAACGGAGGGACCGGCTGAAGCCATGGCAGAAGAATGTGGATTGTGAAGATTTCATGGACATTTATTAGTTCCCCAAATTAATGCTTTTATAATTTCTTATGCCTGTCTTTACTGCAATCTCTAAACATAAATTGTGAAGATTTCATGGACACATCACATCCCCAATCAATACCCTTGTGATTTCCTAGGCCTGTCTTTACTTTAATCTCTTAATCCTGTCATCTCGAAAGCCGAGGAGGATGTATGTCACCTCAGGACCTGTGATAATTGCATTAACTGAACAAATTGTAGAGCATGTGTGTTTGAACAATATGAAATCTGGGCACCTTTAAAAAAGAACAGGATAACAGCAATATTTAGGAAACAAGAGAGATAACCTTAAACTCTGACCGCCAGTGAGCCGAGCAGAACAGAGCCATATTTCTCTTCTTTCAAAAGCAAATGGGAGAAATATCGCTGAATTCTTTTTCTCAGCAAGGAACATCCCTGGGAAAGAGAATACATGCCTGGGGGTAGGTCTATAGACGGCCCCCTGGGTGTGGCCATCTTCTATGGTCTGTAGACTGTAGGGGTGAAATAGACCCCAGTCTCCCATAGTGCTCCCAGGCTTATTAGGAAGAGGAAATTCCCGCCTAATAAATTTTGGTCAGACGGGTTGCTCTCAAAACCCTGTCTCCTGATAAGATGTTATCAATGACAATGGTGCCCAAACTTCATTAGCAATTTTAATTTTGCCCCAGTCCTCTGGTCCTGTGATCTCGCCCTGCCTCCATTTGCCTTGTGATATTCTATTACCTTGTAAAGTACATGATCTTTGTGACCAACACCCTATTCGTACACTCCCTCCCCTTTTGAAAATCCCTAATAAAAACTTGCTGGTTTTTGTGGCTTGTGGGGCATCACGGAACCTACCGACATGTGATGTCTCCCCCGAATGCCCAGCTTTAAAATTTCTCTCTTTTGTACTCTGTACCTTTATTTCTCAAACCGGCCGACGCTTAGGGAAAATAGAAAAGAACCTATGTGACTATCGGGGCAGGTTCCCCGATATGATATGAGGGTGTTAATGTGAGATCTTTCTTTTTGATGTGAACATTTAGTGCTATGAACTTCCTTCAGAACACTTTCTTAGCTATGTCCCAGAGATTCTGGTGTATCTTTATTCTCATTAGTTTCAAAGAACTTCTTGATTTCTGACTTAATACCATTAGTTATTCAAAAGTCATTCAGTAGCAAGTTATTTAATTTCCATGCAATTCTATGATTTTGAGCAATTTTATTAGCATTGAGTTTTATTTTTATTCCACTGTGGTCTGATAATATGGTTGGTATGATTTTGATTTTTTTGAATTTGCTGAGGTTTGTTTTATGGCAGATTATATGGTTAATTTTAGAGTAGGTACCATATGGTAATAAGAAGAATTTATATTTTGTTGTTTCCAGTGGAGAGTTCTGTAGAGTTCTATAAGATCCATTTGGTCTAGTGTTGGGCTCAGGTCCTCAATATCTTTGTTAGCTTTCTGCCTTGATGATCTAATAATTTAAGTGGAGTGGGTCACATTGGAGACAGAATGGCTTCTTCTCTTTAGGGCAACTGAAGATTGCTGGAGTTATGATTAAAATACTCAGGGTATTTGCTCCTTTCTAAGTCTGAAGACAGCAAGGGCGGTAGCACTGCAGTGGCAGTGGCAGAGTGGCATTTGTTTCCCTCTGGGAGTTTTACCTCGGAGAAATGCAGAACCACTGCTACTGCGAATGTTCAACCATGGGTTGGGGCAGCTGCTCTGCTGGCCTGAACTGGGGGCTCTGCTTGTTGAAGAGCAGATCAAGGGCTCACAGGGATGAAAGACTGGGCTCCTCTGTATCATGATTGTGGCATGGTGGAAGTTTGATTGAAGCCCTCAGAGTCGATGTTTGTTCCCCAGACAGTGGGCAGCAAGGGCAGAGCCTTTGCTGTGGCAGTGTCAGAGGAGATGTTGGTTGCCTCTGTGAGTCCCTACCTAGGAAACACAGAGCCAGTACAAGTAGGCATGCTCAGCTATGGGTGGGGTGTCTGTTCTGCAGTCCTGAACCTGGGGCCCTGACTGGTGAAAATTGGGGTGCTGGGGCTCACAGGGAAAAGAGACTGAATTCCTCTCCATATGGCGGCTGTGATGTGCTGGTAGTGCCAGCATAGCAACTTGTCCCTTTGTTCCTTCCGGCAGAGGGCAGTTAGGAGGGTACCACTGCAGCTACAATGGCAGAGGGGTTGTAGGTTATCTCTGGGATTTCCTCCTCAGAGAAATGCAGAGTCACTTTCAATTGAAGTGCTCAAGCAGGGGCAGGGTAGTTGTTCTGGAGTCTCAGGTCAGGACACCCTGCCAAGCAATGAGGAGCCAGCATGAAGGCCCATATGGAGAAAAAACTGACCACTTTTCTGTGGGAAGGCTGCACTGTGCTGGGGAATTGGGTCACTTCCTAATGGTTGCATACTCTTTAGAGACTGAAGGCAATAGT
This sequence comes from Homo sapiens, assembly GCF_000001405.40. Classification (NCBI taxonomy): domain Eukaryota; kingdom Metazoa; phylum Chordata; class Mammalia; order Primates; family Hominidae; genus Homo; species Homo sapiens. The sequence continues at coordinate 90,883,436 of NC_000023.11, forward strand.
GGCAGGTGCTTAGAGACAGCCAAAATAGTGGCTGGACTCTTTTTCAGGAGCTCTGTTCCAGGGAAGTTCAGGACTATTACCCGCCCAAGAGCCTCAGCGAGGTTTGGCTGGAGTCTCAGTTTGGGGTTCCTACTCAGAGAGGAGAAGCAGGATCAGGGACACACTAAAAAACAGTCCAGCTGCTTTTCCATGGGACAGCTGCACATTGCTGGAGATCCACACCACTCCCTAATCCCCATGTACTTTCCAAGGCCTGAACGCTACACCAGCAGAAGCTGCAAGGCAGCAAAAATGGCAGCTGGCCTCTCCCTCATTGAGCTCCGTTTCAGAGTGCAGAGCTGATACCAGCTCAAGAGCCCTGGTGGAGAATGGCTGGAGTCCCAGGTCTGGGATTCTGTCCAGTGAGAAGTGGGATCAAGGACCTACATAAAAAAAATAAAAATAAAAAAAAAACAGACTGGCCACTTTTCCATGGGATGGCTGCATTGTGCAGTGAATTCGTGCCACTCCCTTATCACCACATACTCCCCAGAGCCTGAACGCTATAGCAGTGGAGGATACAAGAGAGCAAAAATGGTGGCTGACCTCTCCCTCTGGAAGTTTTATTCTGGGGAACTGCAGAGCTGCTACCGACCAGAGAGCCCAGACCGGGTGGGGGCAGAGCTGTAGACCCAGCACAGTGGGCCTTAATCTTCAAAATGCATTGGCAGTGAGGCATGCAGTCTGTTGCTGGTCAGCTTCCTGGATTCAGTCCCTTTCTGGCTGCATGCTAGGGAGCCTTACCTCCTGCACTGCCAGAATTGCAACCACTAGTACTGGGATGCCCAGGGATTCAAAGCTCCCAGGACTTTAGGTGTGACTGAGCAGTGGCTCTGCCCAGACTCTATGTAGTTCTCCACGTAAGTCTGGTGGCCCCAGTTGGGTGGGATCATGGGAGGATCACCTGAGCCCAGGTTTGCAAAGGTTCATGGCAGAAGTGTAGGTCCCAAAGGAGTCTTACTCACTTACCATTTCCCCATGGTGGGGAAGTGTCTCCTGGTTCCATGTCATTTCCGGGTGGGCAGTCATCCTGTCTCACTCCTCTCCATTCTCTGTGGGTCTAATTGCTTCCTTGATGAATCCCAGTGTATTCTCCTGGATGTTCCGTTTGAATATGTAGTAGATATTCATACTCTTTCTTCTCTCCATGTGAGTGGTGTACACTAGCTGCTTCTAGTCAGCCATCTTGGCCCCTCCTCCTCCACGATGAATATGAAAAACATAAGTTTTTCTCAGACATGTGAGTTTGTGAATTGTATTTTTCTTATACTTTGTTGATGATCATACTTAAGGTTTGTTGTTTTTTTTTGTCTGATCTCATGGGATGTCATCTACACATGCACAGATTGGCATACAGCAAAGGCTCAAAGGAACACTTATGCAGATTTATAGAACTCTTTCCTTTCCTAAATCTCTCTTAAGGATATGCTGCATCTTAAAGTTTAGCCACCTTAATCTCTCCAAACTCTACTGTCTGTTTGCTTAGCTAATCAAGATTCTGGGCCTTTTTTTGGTCTTTCCTTTTTGCCCTGCAATGCAAAATTATTTCCAGCACAATTTTTGATGAGACAGCCAGCTCCTCTTTGAATTTCCATGACATTTTTATAGTATAAAATGACTAAATACATGTGGTTCTACTACAGGATTCTATTCTATCTCACTGGTCTATTTGTCTATACTTGGTGGCAACAAGGTACAATCTAAGATACTACAGATTTATATTATATCTTGAAATATTGCTGTGTAATCCTTCAATTTTGTTTTTTTAAGTATGTCACAGGTATTCTAAGTGCATTACATTTCCATATACATTTTAATTTGTTAATTTCTTCAAAACCCTGGAGATTTGTTCATTAACTTTTTACCTTTTAACTTCATCAAGGTATAATTTGCAAGTGGTGAAGTACTCAAATATTAAATACAGTTGTTTCATAACATCTGTAGAAAATTGTTTCAACAACATGCCCCTCATTCAGATAACAAAATTTACAGATGCACAATTTTTTATAAAAAATGGCATAGTATTTGTATATAACCTACACCCATTCTCCTATATACTTTAAATAATCTCTACATTACTTATGATTCCAAATGCAATGTAAATATGATGTAAATAGGTTCTACATTACATCGATTTTTAAAATTTGTATTATTTTTATGGTTGTATTGTTACTTTTAATGTTTCTTTAAAACATCTTTGAACTGTGGTTGGTTGCATCTACAAACGCAAAATTTGTGGATATGAAAACTCACATTACCTATGATAACCCATCAGGTTTCAGTGCTATGCACCTAAATTGGAGAAACAACTGATATTCAAGAAAACATAAGTCCAATGTTAAACATGAACTCATGGAGAACCAGGACAGCAACCTTGTCCTTCCAGAGTCCTTAAAGCTTTTGTTATTAAATATTTTGTATTCCATGATTCATCATGGAAAAGGTAAAATTATCCAAATTATCCAAATATGTATTGGCGTCATGACTTCTAAATTGCTAAAATAGTTTATGACAAATATTTGGTTTTTCAAGTTAATATTCCTGGGAAAACAATAAAAGCTTTGGGTACATTTGGCTACCTGATGGGCCATTTAAACACTTAGAGAGGGATTTCATTCAATTGTCATTTTCAACACATGTTTTCTGGTTATATAAAAGCTTTTCTATGCAAGAGGGCTGGTGTTATAATACTAAATTGTTATTCCACAGTGTATTTTCAAAGAAAACTCTTTATGATTTACTGACTGAGGCCAATCAACCCCTTCACAATCTAGAACCCGAAGATTGGATCTTCTGAGAAAATTGGAGAAAGACCACCCTTGACATCCACACTACAACAAACCTTCAGTGCCTTGAATTTTAGGTTCATAATCCCACAACTGAGAAGAGCCCCTCCACACTCTTGGAACTGTACACCCATTAGAACCCTTAAGAAAAAGCTATCCAGGGAGATTTCTCACCAGAAGAAGATGGCATCCTTGATGTGAGCAGCTTTTTTCCAAGACCGTGGATCAAGACTTCTCTATTCTCATGAGACCCTTATCTTTAAATATTTTTTCCTTATTTATGCCTATATGAACAATATAAGTAAAAAGAGGGTCTGTTGTGTGCACTTAGGAGGAAAACTTCTATTTGTGAAGGATTTTGCAGCCAGCCTTATACATGGATAACCTTATACCTTGATAGATAAAAAATGAAGGCCCAAGGTAAGCCAGAAACTTAAACAGTACATACGTTGCTTCACAATCACTCAGAAACAGAACACTGGTTCACTTCTCTTAACCCACATCATGGATTAAAGAGAACATTGCCAGAAATCTTTCACTCTTCTAAACAGACATCATTTTTTAGGTCCTTTTGGATGGTTTCGAGTAAAATAAGCAATGATTAGAAATGGATTCCTCATGATACGCTCTATAGCAGATTCTATTGTAAAGCCTATAGTTACACAACAGACCAAATTCTCTTGTAAAACGTTTGCTAAATAATAGAATTGGCTAAACAGAAAAGTATCTGTGCAGGTGCTGACGCTTGTGGCCAACGGAGAATATATATCAAATGTAGATTATAGAGATTCAGTTGTAGTGGATTAATAAAGAGACTGCTTAGTTCAGTGAGCAGACTCTTTATCTGGCTTATTCTTTGATCTATTTTATTTTAGTTGATTTGGTTTATGGGTATCCTGGGTAAGAATCATACTCCAAACTCTTGGTATTATCTTCCTCATAGTCATAATAGTAGTCTCCCTTGTGTGCTGTATTCTCTCAAAGGTTTTAAATGTTTGCTTACAGCCATCTCTAGAATGTCAAATTATCTGTTTTCAACTGGAATGACAAGAGCTGAAAGAAATGTGCAACCACGAGGACACCTTAACCTATGAATGACATGCCGAGACTGAAAACTCAAAATGATGGTAACTGAGAGTGGTGCTGAGGCCCTAAATTTCGGTCACACTCTCACCTAATTAAGAACCTGACCAAAAAGGGAGAATTTTCTTTTGAACAAAATTATGGGAGGCCATTGTTTTGGAGTGAGCTTATTCATTCACTAGGCCCTAACAGACCAAACAAAAATTGAGTCCCTCATGCTAAATGTGACATAATCAAACTAAGACTTTAAGGAAACACACAGATCCTAGAACAGACAAGGTTTTGTTTTTCTCCTGCAAACAGGACGTTCTATCATAAGGAGGTACTCTCCACTCAGTTCTTATTCTCACCTTTGCAAAACTCACTGTTCTACTGTTTCCCAGTGGGTTTCAAAACCAATGGTGATATTGACATCAATAACTAAAGTTGTTATTAATATCTTATAATTGAGAAAATGACCTAAAGGGGAAATTGTTAAATCAAGTTTAGCCTAAAGCTGCCTCCTTACATATTTAAGTTCAGCCTAATGGTTTTTCTGTACATCATGAACTATACCAACTGGTGGTGCAAATGAACCACAGCCCACACCTGTGCCAATCACTAAGTTTTGGCCAATCGAATGTAGGCAACTACTCAAACTGTGTTCAAGTAAGGCAAATGCTGAGCAGTAACCAATCCAGTTCTTTCTGTACCTCATTTCCATTTTTGGTATTTCAGTTTCCATTTGCTGTCCTTAAATCTTCTTCTACCATGTGGCTGCACTGGTGTCTTTCTGACTCTGCTGTGATTCTGAGGGCTGTCTGATTCTCAAGTAATTCATTGCTAAATCATACTCTTTTAAATGTAATTTGGCTGAAGTTTTTCTTTTAACAAAGGTTAAAAGAAAAAGAGTGCCTTTTGTGAAGTAAAAGAATCATTAAAACACATCTGGGTCTGGGGCTAAATAAAATAAATATTTCATGGGCAAGTAAGACAAATTAGCCAACCAGAAGGTAAGACATTTCCCTTGTTATTATCTTTTATATGAATAAAGATGAGATTAAAAATATAAAAATAAATTTTACTTTCCCCATAGTGCCTTGGAATACCCATTAATCAGAAACTGAGGAACTCCTGAGCAAATGTAGAAAAACAGGATCAAATTTCTCAAATACCTCAACAATTGTCTTAGGAAACAGACTGATTCATTACAGACTTGTTGAAAAATTATAGTAAACTGAGAGGTTAACAAAAAAGCAGTGCCTTTGAATGTAAGTATTCATACTTTGCAGCTCAGCAAATGATAGGCTCCAAACAGGCAGCTGGCAAGAAAAGATTCTATCATAGATTATTATCCCATATCTGAGAAAATATATTGATATAGTTTTGCTGTGTCCCCATCCAAATCTCATCTTGAATTATATCTCTCATAATTCCCACATGTTGTGGAAAGGATCCGGTGGAAGATAAATGAATCATGGTGGCAATTTCCCCCATACTGTTCTCATGATAGTGAATAAGTCTCCCAAGATCTGAGGTTTTATAAGGGGGAGATTTCCTGCACAAATTCTCATTGTCTCTTTGCCTGCTGCCATCCATGTAAGATGTGACTTGCTCCTCCTTTTGTTCCACCATGATTGTGAGGCCTCCACACCCATGTGGAACTGTAAGTCCCTTAAACCTCTTTCTTTTGCAAATTGCCCAGTCTTGGGTATGTCTTTATCAGCAGTGTGAAAATGAGCTAATATAATTATATACATTTAAAAATAGATGTCTGATCCTTATTCAAGCTTAGAAACTTAAAATCCATTTTATTTTTCTCATATCATTCTTGATATCTTCTAAGAACTTGCTGCACACATGTCATTTGAATACTAACAAGCTTAACAATTTTAAAATATATTTTATAGTTCTAGCTTTGTTGTGGCTTTATCTAAAAAGAAAGGTATGGTTGATTAATCAAAATTGCCAAATATAAGCGAGCACTACCTAGTTGTTAATCCTTCAGAATGTGAACTTATGGCCTCAGATCACAAGCAGAGTCCTAATACGTCTGTTTCCATTTATTTACAGCAACGATATTCGACATATTTCACCTCAATATTAATCGTTTTTTCTTGGTTTTATAGATGTTTCACTTCTCTGATGAAAATTTCCTCTTTCAGCAGAATTGCAAAAAGAGATGGATGGGGGAAAGAAAGGGAGAGGAAGATGTGGGGGAGAGAGAGAAAGTGAGAGAGAGAGAGGAGAAATTTCATATAATCTATGTGTTTTAACAGAAATAAAGAAAATGGAGAGAATTCAGGTATAAAATATTCAAATCTTTCTATAACTAATATGGGCAGGCCTGAATTTAAATGCTTCCTGTTAACCTTTTCATTCTCTTCTTGCTCAACATACTCACTCTCTGTCAGATTTTCCTCATGCCTGAACAATAACATATATGGAGCCAATATTTTGCCTTATGACAACCTGTTTAATAATCTGCTGTAAGAAATATACTGTCTCTCAAATCAGGGAAAACTTGTGTATAATAGAAACTTACTGAAGCCCAGTGAAGTTTAATAGAATGAAAGTTGTTCAAATATACATGTAAATAGCATAGGTGAAAATAATACACGTTATCTAAGAGTTAGTTACACACGTATTGCTCAGCAAATGCATCTGTTACTCCAAATATTTTCTAATTGCATATACCCAATCTGGTCAGGCCATTCAATATAAACTTACTTTGAAAAAATTAAAATAAAATATTAGATGAGGGATGACAAGTAGTTTTTAACTTATGTGCAAGTTCAAAATTACTGATAATGGTTGCCTGCAGTTCTCATAAAAATAATTAAGACATTGCTTTCGATTTTAGTGAGAAAAATGGTCATAATTGATTGGTATATCTGTCATTTGTTCAAAATAGGGAGTAATACATATGGTGTATTTACTCACCCTGCGTTAGAAAGTAATGTATATAAAACTGAACATATTCATCCAAATGTATTACATAATAGAATTTTCCTCCAGTGTCATTTTTGCTCCATTATTTTTCTAAATTTAAGAATTTTAGTAAGTTGTCATGCTATTCTTATGACATCCCCAATAAACTCACTTCATACAAAAAGGCAATCACTATAAAATATGAAACGAGTTGATTTGATGTACTACTAAATAACGTTGCCCTCAGATACTCTTGTTCTAAATATTATAGTTTGGTATCTCCATTGGATCCTTTTCTCAATTTCCCCCATGATTCCTCTTGAATTTATATTATTATCTTATGCTACTTGTAAAATAATTTCAGTTTGTCTCTTTTGAGTCTATTTATCCCATTTCTCTTCCTCCTACTATTTTTGCTTATAAAATTAAAACAGATATTTAAAGCTCAAATGTTGAGAAGCCATGCAGTTAACATAAGTCTTTGAATTTAACAATACACGCTAAATTATCACCCTCAAGCATAACATATGCCCAGATACTTCGCCTCTTTTTCCAAGATTAGCATTCAATCACTGGGCTATATATAATCCATTTTATGGCCATTTTGCAATGCCTTAACTAAAGAAGTAATTACATTTAGTTATCAAGAAGTTATCTGCCTCATTATAGGCAATGGTCATTGGATAATCTCAGGTGTGATACTTTTGCCCAACTTCCACAGGATAAATTGACATGTGAGAGGATGGACTGGAGTAACTGTCCCAACTAGTTGAAAAAAGAGATAACTAATATTTTCCTTATCTTTTAAAAAGGCCTTTAAGATGTACTTTAACTTATATAATGGGCATCAAAAGAGATACAAGCTTGATGTAAAATGCTTTATAAGGCATATTTTATGCACTTATGTGTTTCTTATTTAAAGGAAAATCTGCATTACTGATATGCTATAAGGTACCCTCCAACACAAGTGGATAAAAATCTGTTTTGAATGCTTGGAGATACTTCATATGTCTTCTCTTTAGATCTATGTTTTTCTATTTTTTAAAAGAGTTTATTAGACAGAAACAAAGCAAGAATTAACACTCCAAGTTAACACCCTTTTCTTGGTGCTTTACTATAACATAACTTGCAGATGGTGGGAAGAGGAGGAAATTTTGGATTAGATAATAATATTTACATAGCTCAGGCTTGTATACATTTTACAACATGTAAGCTGTGTTTGTGTTTCTGGTTCAATTAAAAGTATTTTGAAAACATTGCATTTTTTGCTAAGCAATACATCTTGATGGATTAAGTGAAAACATTCGGAAAACATTATTTGTATTTCATAGTGTTTCTATGACCTCCAGAAAGAAAATTGAAAGTATTTGGTAGTAATTTGTGAAGAATCACTTTTGGATTTTGGAAAGATTTTAATAGCTAGATATAGTGTAGATAAAATATTTCTGTAGAACTGCTATTTCCAAAGAATATCTAGAAGATTTCTGGATAGTTTCAGTAATAATGAAAGGGATAGAAAACTGTTTTTATCCAAAGTTCAAGGAAAATCTATTAAATGTGTATTTTTTCTATAAATAAATGAGATCACTTTTAATAGGCTTATTATATTTTCTATGAAAGCTGATGACCCCAATATGACTATTCTTCATGTGGAAATATAAAATTTGAAAGTTGTGATGCTTTTATATATGTTGATATTTCTAGACTGGTAATCATATATACATTATATATATATATGCAAATATATTTACAACAAGAATTTAAAAAGCAAAAATTTATTTTCATATACGAAAATATACATTGAGAGTATCACCTACTGGTTAGGACATGTGATGTGGAGTTAGACTGTTTAGTTTGAATCCTGGAGCAATCACTCCTTAATTTTGTGACCTTGATCAGGTTGCCTATTTTCTCTATATCCAGTGATCATTGCGTTAAATGAGAAAATAGAAAGCACATAGAAAATAGCTAAAATATAACACAATATTATTATCTATAGTTCCATGGCTTCTTTATTATTAGTATTATACATTTCATTTGCCTTCTATCTCCTATCTCTAATATTATTTTTTCCTAATGTTTAGTTCTCACTCAACTATTCTATGAGCATGTTTTCTCTTCTACCTTTTTTTGCTGCTGAGGCCTCATTAATTGAGCACGCTAAAAAAAAAAAATCATGGATGTGCACAGTTCAAACTGTTCAAGAAGAGATTTGCAATTCAGTTACAAAAATGCCTTTTTCTGACAGCCTCTGCTTGTCAGTGTCTTCTGGATGTGCTTAGCGTTTGAGCCATGCCTTTCCTCTTTCCAGGCAGCCCCCAAGCAATAACTGAGCATGACCGGTCGAGGGCCTAGGTATATCTGCCTGATGAGATGCTTCATTAAGGGGCAGTATTTGCTGCAGGTCACTCTATAGGTTTGGTCAAAACCTTTCACCAGAGTCTGAAGAGTATCTACCCAATTTTGCTTCCTCCTGCCTTTCCCTCCATGCATATTCCATCCACAGGCAATCATAAGAATATTGTATTTTGCTTCCTTCCCATTGTATCACACACAGACATTGCTACCCCACACCCCCAAATTTCACTTTGACACTCCAAATCTACCTCAGCATCTGCCTTACAGGGTAACTGACAGACAAAATTGGTGACTGAAGTGAACTAAAAAAGCAGTTGATAAGATGAGAATTGACAATTAGTACCTTATTCCAGGAGGTATGTGAGGCATGGAGTCACTAACACAAGATGATGGCTCAGTTTCTCAGACATTCACCAGTGGTGAATTGGGAGAAAGTTTCCAGTGGATGAAATTGTCTTCACCTATGTGATGATTCAGCCTCTTGAAAAGTAAAGATGTTGGGGAAATTATGTGTAAAAGTACAGTAGAATTTGTTGGTTTTAACTAAGATGCATTGATGCTCTAAAAGAGTAGTTAATATACAATTAAAAATTAAATCTAAAGACCAAAGGGCCTTTTTGGCAGTTCACCAAGTGGCCCTTATCTCCATAGAGGAAAAACAGAAAAACTACAAACAAAGCTCAGGTATAATAGTTACAGTAACAAAGCTAAAATGGTTACTAAATACATAACTGAGTTCTGTTATGTCAAAGTCTGGAGACTTCTTGAGAAAATCTGAGACCAGGACTCATTGTATTGGGGCAACTGAGTAGCTAGCCATGAAGAATTTTACTGTTTAGGCACCTCTGTTCCTCAGGACCCACAACAGTGACACTGATTTTCTTAAGGACTACAATTCCCACCATCTGGGAAGATACTACAGAGCTGTTTTCCCTGGAAGGATACAGTTCCCCTCCGAAACTGCACCTAGATCTTTTGTAGATGCCAGGCCAAGTATTAGGGATGATCCACAGCATAAATCTACTATTGACATTCCATGGGGATACACATAGATTTAGATTTTTAGAGTGCTTGATCAGTGGGGACAGATTATAAGACTAGATAAATAAGGCTATTGACTTTGAGGACCTCTCTCAAGATACAGAATTTATTGCCTGTCAGGGTCCCTAGTAAGGCAAACATACAGCTAAGATAGTCCCTAGAAAATTAAAGAAAGTGGTGATCCATGCTGAGTGAAGTGGAAATGTCTGATTTGTGCTGGCATGTGGTAAAGGAAGAACTAAAGAGCCTATGGAGATGGAAAGTTTGGAATAGATACATTATGTGAAGCCAGAAGACCTAGCAGAGTATTATATTCCATTGGAGGACCCAGAGGACACACCATTCATTGAAGCCACTGGGTATGCACTGAGGAGAGAGGCACTAGCTTTCCTAAGAACTTGAGGGGTGGATCTCCTCTGCAGGCTGGGGCTCAATGTAGGATAGGTAGTCACAGAGCTGGGCTCATTAATATCCATGGGGATGATGTCTTTCACTCCTTCCACCCACAAGTAATAGAGATGAGGTGATAGTAGAGATAGTTCAAAGAGAATGGCATCCCTAGGAGTAACAAGAATATTGCTTTATATACATATAAATACATGTATAACAATATACAATTTATATATATATAAATTGTATATTATTGTATATTATTCTTGCTTATTCGGTTTTATTTGGAATATATATATATAATTTTTTCCAAATAAAGGAAAACAGAATAAGCAAGAAGCTGAGGGCAAACACCTCACAAAATATCTTGGCTGCTGCCCAATTTCAGGACTTTAAGGAACATAGTTAGCCGCAGGCTTCAATTTTTTTTTTTTTTTTTTTTTTTTTTTGCGGAGACAGGGTTCTTGCTCTGTCACCTGGGCTGGAATGCAGTGGTGCAATCTTGGTTCACTGAAACCTCTGCCTCCCAGGCTCAAGTGCTCCTCCCACCTCAGTCTCCTGAGTAGTTGGGACTACAGGCGCAGCCACGCCAGGTTAATTATTTGTATTTTTTATAGAGACAAGGTTTCACCACGTTGCCCAGGCTGATCTCGAACTCCTGAGCTCAAGTGATCTGCCCACCTCAGCCTCCAAAATGCTGGGATTAAAGGCATGAGCCACCATGCCCTGCCCATGATTCAATATTCTTTTAGAAAAATGTCAGGGAAGACAAATATACTTCATCTATTGATAAACCATCTATTATTTTAGAGAAGTGCATTTGTGAAAATAAGGACATGTCTGAGCTAGACAATCATTTTGAAGAAATTGGGGATAACATCAGAAGAAGCAATGCCAAAAGTACCATATACTCCTTCACTGTTCTCAACTATATTTTTATCAGTATCGTGTATCCCGCAGATATGCTCAAGGCCCTAATTAGCCAGTATCTAGTTAATAATGGTCATTTCATCAAAGGATTATGCTGCTTTTTATATCTAGGAAAAATAGGGAGAAACACAATCTATTCAGTCAAAATTTTAAGGACAATTTTCACAGAAAATAGTGTGATTATCACTGAGAACCTACGCGCTCCTGAGAGAGCACAAACTAATATACAACAACATCTGGCAAGTTTTACATCTCACTTGGCTTTAATTTAATACTGTCTAACAACAAGAAAAATGGAAGGTATCACTTAAACAGCAAAAGACCAGGTCATTCCAAAATTGTAGGTGTACCCATACCTCTGTTGAAGAATACAGGTCTGGTGGGAGAAAAGCTATGATAATATATGAGTTCAATGGAGAGCTGCTGGCGTAAGTGTCTACAAAGGACTACCTCATGAGTCCGGAAGGCATATATGTTTCTTCTAAGGAAAACATTCTTTATTGCTCTCAAAAATCTTGAGGTTTACCTGTTTGTTGTAGGGTAGTCACAGTGCTTCCTTTCCCACCTTTCTCATTTTTGTTACTTCCACAATTATTTTCCCAAATTTTGGGGCCTCAAACTCCAAAGCCATTTTTTGATTGCTCCCTCTCCTTTAATCCTCACATCTAATTAGGGATACAGGAAATATTTACAAAGGCCTGATTTGTCACTCTATAGTCATGCTGAAAACTCATATGTCCGACTGCATGCTAGTGACCAGTGCCAACACATGACAATGCTTCATTAAGTAAATAGCCGAAACTGAGAAGCCTGACTTGATCTGCAGTAAATGAGGTGATTGGTTTTGAAATAAAACAGCAAGGACTTATTGAAGAAACATTCTGCTGAAACTTCTCCTCCCGTATTGAACTCAATTCACAGGTCTTTAGTGTAATAAAGATTTGCTGCAAGGATATTAACCAGGGATAAAAGCATATTCTTAGCACAGCTACACTAGAGTCTTATTTTAAAAAGCCTAAGTCACTCCAGAGTACGCAGAAAAATATATCTAAACAGCATGTGTTGTATGGCTTTTTTCTTGAATGCCTGATTTTCCATATAGGGGCTTAATTGAAATTCAAATGTTCTAAACTTGATGAATAAAACTTAATAAACATTTCTTTATTTTATGTAACTGAAGAAAAAAAATCTGTCAAGCTGCTAGTCTCCAAAAGCATTGTATCCTACCCCAATTTGTCATATTGAATTTGATCTAGTCTTTTTTTTTTCCAAAATTCAAATATTATCACAAGCACTGTGTAGATCAAACCTTATTTATTTGATGATAAGATCTAGCCTTTGGGGTTTCTTATTCTTTGAATAAGATGAAATGGTTCTTTGAATGGTTCCATTCAAAGAATAAGAACCATTTGCAGAAACCTGCAATTGTTTCTTTTAAGATAGCATCTGAGAACAAGAGCAGTTTATATATTCTCATAGAATTATGGAAGAGTCATTTGATATCATCTCTCTGTACTCACTGTATTGTTTTTAGTTTACTTGAGCCCCCCTGCTTCTACCTTGCTATGGGCCAAGGCAAAGCTATAATACTCACCCTTTTAGTCAACTTGGCAGCTGTCTTAGAAACCGAGGACTTTTTGGCTGCTTTCTTTGCATCAGGTAGGAGCTTGAGGCTTTCGCTGAGATCTGTGAACCCAGACCCTTGTCTCAGCTCTAGCTACACTACTGTGTCTGTGCCATATTGAATTCAACAGTGTCAAACACAGGCTTCCAGAATACTCATGATGTGGGCAGAAGAGCTGAATTTTATTATATTTTCAAAACTCATTTGTGTACCTTTATATTAACTTTTGCTTTTTATTTCTTTTTGTTTTATTTTTATTGTGTGCATACACAGTTATAGTAGCTGCAAATATTTAAAGGGTACATGAGATACTTTGATACAGTCATGCAATAAGCAATAATCACATCATGGAAAATGGGGTATCCAGCCCCTAAAGCATTTATTCTTTGTATTACAACAATCCAATTATACCCTTTACTTATTTTTAAATATACAACTGGATTATTATTGACTGTAGTCATCCTGTTTTGTTATCAAATACTAGGTCTTATTTACTGTTTCTAATTCTATTTTTTGTTCCCATTAACCATTTCCACTTCTTCCCAAGACTCCCAATACCATTCCCAGCCTCTAATAAACATCATTATACTCTCTATCTCCATGAGTTCAATTGTTTTGATTTTTAGCTCCCACAAATAAGTGAGTAAATGCAAAGTTTTGTCTTCATGTGCTTCACTTATTTCACTTTACACAATGACCTCCAGTTCCATCCATGTTGTTGCAAATGACAGAATCACATTATTTTTTACAGCTACATAGTACTCCATTGTGTGTAGGTACTGTATATTCTTTATCAAATTATTTGATGATGGATATTTAGGTTTCTTCCAAATTCTGGGTATTGAGAACAGTGCTGCAACAGACATGAGAGTACAGATATCTCTTCTAGATATTGATTTTTCTTTCTTCTAGGTATATACCCATCAATGGGATTGCTGGACATTATAGTAGTTCTATTTTTAGTTCTTTGAAAAACCTCCAAATCATTCTCCATAGTGGTTTTACTAATTTATTCCCACAAACAATGTACAAGCGTTCCCTTTTCTCCAGATCCTCTTCAGCATATATTGCTGACTGTCTTTTGGATAAAGGTCATTTTAATTGGAATGAGATATTTCATTGTAGTTTTGAATTGCACGTCTTTGATTATCAATAATGTTGAACACCTTTTCATATGCTTGTTTCACATTTGTATTCCTTCTTTTGAGAAATGTCTATTCAAATTGTTTGCCCATTTTAAAAGTCAGATTATTAGATTTTTTTCCTAGAGTTGCTTATGTTCCTTTTATATTTTTAATCTCTTGTCAGATGAGTAGTTTGCAAATACTTTTTCCCATTCTGTGGGTTTTCTCTTCATTTTGTTGATTGCTTCCTTTGCTGTGCAGTAGCTTTTTAACTTGACTTGATCCCATTTATCAATTTTTGCGTTGGTTGCATGTGCTTGTGGGGTATTGTTCAAGAAATTTTTGCCCAGTCCAATGTCCTAGAGAGTTTCCCCAAAGTTTTCTTGTACTAGTTTTATAGTTTGAGGTCTTAGATTTAAGTATTTAATGCATTTTGATTTTATTTTTGTATAAGCTGCAAGATAGGGGTCAAGTTTTATTCTTCTGCATATGGATATCACGTTTTCCAGCACGATTTATAGAAGAGACTGTCATTTCTCCAGTGTATGTCCTTGGCATATTTGTGGAAAATTAGTTCACTCTAGGTCTATGGATTTCTTTCTCGGTTCTCTATTATGTTGTATTGACCTATGTTTCTTTTTTTATGCAAATACCATGCTATTTTCGTTGCTATAGCTCTATAGTACAATTTAAAGTCAGGTTATGCAATTCCTCCAGTTTTGTTCTTTATGCTCAGGATACTTTTGGCTAATATAAATCTTGTGGATCCATATAAATTGTAGGATTCATTGTTTATGTTTCTGTGAAGAATATCATTGGTAATTTGATAGGGATTGCATTGAATCTGTAGATTGCCTTGTGCAGTATGGACATTTTAACAATATTGATTCTTCCAATTCGTGAACATGGAATATCTTTGCATGTTTTTGTATCCTCTCCAATTTATTTCCTCAACATTTTACAATTTTTATTGTAAAGATCTTTTCCTTCTTTGGTTATTTTCTAGGTACGTAACTTTATCTGTAGCTATTATAAATGTGATTACTTTCTTGATTTCTGTTTTAGATTGTTTACTGTTCACATAAGAAATGCTATTAAGTTTACATGTAAATTTTGTATCCTGCAACTTCACTGAATTTGTTTACAAGTTCTAATAGCTTTTGTTGGAGCCTTTAGGTTTTTCCAAATATAACTCCATATCATCTGCAAATAAATATACTACTTTTACTTCTTCCTTTCTAATTTGGATGTTCTTTATTTCTTTATCTTGTCTGATTGCTCTAGCTAAGACTTCTGATAGTGTGTTGAATAACAGTTGTGAAAGTGGGCATCTTTGTCATGCTCCAGGTCTTAAAGGAAAGGCTTTCACTTTTTTCCCATTCAGTATTATACTAGCTGTGGGTCTGTTATATATGGCTTTTACTATGTTGATGTATGTTTCCTCTATACCTAGTTTTCTGATGGCATTTATCATGAAGGAATTTTGAACTTATCAAATGCATTTTCAATATTAATTAAAATGATCATATGGTTTTTGTCTTTCTGTTGATAATGACACGTTATATTGATCAATTTGTATATGTTGAACCACCCTTGCATCTCTGGCATAAATCTCACTTGGTCATTTGAATGATTTTTAATGTATTATTGAATTGGTTTATTAGTAATTTGTCGAGGATTTTTACATCAATAATCATCAGAGATATTGGCCTGTACCTTTCTGTTTTTTGATATGTCTTTGACTGATTTTGGTATCTGTGTGGTACTGTCTTCATAGAATAAGTTTGGAAGTACTCCCTTCTCCTCTATATTTTTAGAATAATTTGAGTAGGATTGATATTCTTTAAATGTTTGTTAAATTCAGCAGTGAAGCCATCAGGTCCCGGGCTTTTATTTACTGGAAGCCATTTTATTATGGCATCAATCTTGTTACTTGTTGGTCTGTTCAGGATTTGGATTTCTTCATGGTTCAAACTTAGTAGATCATATGTGTCTAGGAATTTACCCATTTCCTCTAGATTTTCCAATTTGTTGGCATACAGTTGCTCATAGTAGCCATAATGATCCTTTGACTTCAGTTGTAATGCCTATTTTTTACATCTCTAATTTTATTTACTTGTGCCTTTTCTTGTTTTTCTTAGTTGGGCTAAAGATTTGTCAATTGTATTTATCTATTCAAAGACTAACTTTTCATTTTATCTTTTGTATTGTTTTCTTCATGTTGAATTTATTTATTTTTGCTCCTATTTTTATTGTTATTTCTCTTTTCCTAAATTTGGTTTTGGCTTGCTTTTTCTTTTCTAGGTTTTTAACATGCATTGTTAAATTATTTATTTGAAGTTTTTCTTCTTTTTTTGATGTAGGTATTTATCACTATAAATTTCCCTTATTGCTTTCATTTTATCTCATAGCTTTTGGAATGTGTTTTCATTATCATTTGTTTCAACAAATTTTTCAATTTTCTTCTTAATTTCTTTATTGGCCCATTGACCATTCAGGAACGTCTTGTGTAATTTCCATGTGTTTGTATAGTTTTCAATATTTCTTATTGCTTTGTAGGTTTATTTCATTGTGGTCAGATAAAATACTTGATATTATTTTAATTTTTTGAATCTTTTAAAACTTGCATTGTGACCTACCATGTTATTGAGAATAACCCATGTCCTGAGAAGAATGTGTATTCTGCAACTGTTGGATGAAATGTTCTATACATATCCACTGGATTCATTTTATCTATAGTGCAGATTAAGTCCCATGGTTTTTGTTTGTTTGTTTTTTCTTTTTCTGTCTGGAAGGTCTGTCCAATGCTTAAAGTCAGGTCTTGAAGTCTCCAGCTATTATTGTATTGAGGTCTATCTCTTTAGCTCTTATAATATTTGCTGTATATATCTCTGTGTTCCAGTGTTGGGAGCATATTTATTTACAATTGTTATGTCATCCTACTGAATTGACTCCTTTAATGCTATGTGGTGACCTTCTTTGTCATTCATGCAGTTTTTGTCTTGAAATCTATTTTGTCTGATATACATTTAGCTACAGCTGCTCTTTTTTTGTTTCCATTGACATGAAATATCTTTTTCCATCCCTTTACTTTTCACCTATGTGTATCTTTATAAGCATTGTATGTTTTTTTTGAAGGCAACAGATTGTTTTGTCTTCCTTTTTTTATCCATTCAGCCATCTCTATATTTTGATTGAAATGTTTAGTCCGTTTTCTTTTAATGTTTTTATTGATAAGTAAGAATTTACTCCTTCCATTTTGTTATTTGTTTTCTGGTATGTTTTATGGTCTTCTCACTATTCCTGTCTTCCTTTTAGTGAAGGTGATTTCCACTGCTGGTATTATTTAATTCCTTGCTTTTTATATTTTGTTTATCTATTGTATGTTTTTCAATTTGAGGTTACCATGAGGCTTGCATATACTGTATTATTTTTACTGGTGACAATTTAACACTGATTGCATAAACAAACAAGTAAGAAGACAACTAATAAAAAGTCCACACTTTAAGTTTTTCCCCACCTCCACTTTTTAACTTCTTATTTTTTCTCTTTATGTCTTATTGCAATGTTTCTTGAAAAATCAGTTATTATTTTAATTGTTTCATTATTTAGTCTTTCTACGTAAGAGTGTTTTACACAGCAAAATTACAGTGTTATAGTATTATGTGTTTTACCCTGTGCTATTACCAGTGAGTTTTGTACCTTCAGATGATTTTTTATTGATCATGAACATGCTTTTTTTCAGATTGCAGAACTTCCTTTAGCATTTTTTATAGGACTGGTCTAGTGTTGATGAAATCCCTCAGCTTTCCTTTGTCTGGAAAAGTTTTTGTTTCTCTTTCATGGTTGAATAAGGCTTTTGCTGGACATACTATTCTAGGATAAAAGTTTTTTTTCTTCATCACTTAAATAAGTCATACCACTCTCACCTCTCCTGTAAAGTTTCCACTGAAATGTCTGCTGCCAGATGTATTGGAACTCCATTGTATGTTATTAGGTTTTATTTTTTTTCTCTTGCTGCTTTTAGGACTTTTTTTAAACCTTTGACATTTGGAAGTTTGATTATTAAATGCTTTGAGGTATTTCTTTTTGGGTTGTGTTCTATTACTTTCTTGTACTTAAATATGGATGTCTTTCTCTAGGTTTGGGAATTTATCTGATATTATCCTTTTGAATAAGCTTTTTACTGCTCTTTTTTTACCTTCTCTGTAAGACCAGTAACTCTTAAATTTGCTCTTTTGAGGTTATTTTTTAGATCTTAGATCTTTAGGCATGCTTCTTTTAATTTTTTTTATTTTGTCTCTTCTGACTATGTATTTTCAAACAGTCTGTCTTGAAGCTCACTATTTTTTTCTTCTGCTTGATCAATTCTGTTAATAAGAGACTGATACATTATTCAGTATGTCAATTGCATTTTTCAACTCTAGAATTTCTGCTTGATTCTATTTATACATTTTAATCTCTTTGTTAAATTTATCTGATAGATTTCTGAATTCCTTCTCTGGGTTATTTTGAATTTACTTGAGTTTTCTCAATTTGCTATTTTGAATTCTCCATCTGAAAAGTCACGTATCTCTGTTTCTCCAGTATTGGTCCTTGATGCCTTATTTAGTTTGTCTGGCGAGGTCATTTTTTCTTGATTGGTCTTGATGCTTGTAGATGCTCATTGATGTTTCAGCATTTAAGGGTTAGGCACTTATTGCAGTCTTTGCAATTTGGGCTTGTTTGTGCTTCTTAGGAAGGCTTTCTAGGTATTTGAAGAAACTTGGGCCCCAAACTCAATAATGCTGTGGTTCTTGCACATTCACAGTGATACCGCCTTGCTGGTATTGTATAAGGATTCAGAAGAATTCTCTGGATTACCATAATGCAGAATCTCTTGTTCTCTTACCTTATTTTCTCCCAAAAAAACAAAGTGTCTTTTTCTCTCTCTCTGCTGAGCCACCTTGAACTGGGAATATGGGGACATAAGCATTGCTGTGGCCACCACCACAGGGACTCTGCTGGTTCAGACCTAAAGCAAACACAGCACTGGGACTCTCTCAAGGCCTCCTGTAACCACTATCTCACTACCACCTAAGTTAACTCAATGCCCTAGGGCTTTATAGTTAGCAGTTGGTAAAGCCAGCCATGTTTGTGTCCCTTCCATCAGGGCTGCAAGTTCTTCCAGGCCACCGTTGTGTCCAGAGATGTTGTCTGGGAGCCAAGTATTGAAGTAAAAAGCCTTGGAAATTTACCTGGAGTTCTATTCTGCTGCAGCTAAGCTGGTACTTAAACCACAAGACAAAGTCCTTCTCACTCTTTCCTCCACTTTTCATAGGCAGAGGAGCCTCCTGCTGTGGCCAGCACCACAACTGATTCACAGAGGGTACTTCCAGTCCACTGCTGATGTTCACTTAAAGCCCAAAGACTCTCAGTCACCTTTTGATGAATACTACCAAGCCTGGAATTTACCCTTCAGGGCAGTGGGCTCCCCTCTGGCCCAGGTAATGTCCATAAACATTGCTGAAGAGAGTCTAGGCCTGGACTCAGGGACACCAAGAGTGGTGGTGCTCTACTACTATAGCTCAAGTGGTACCCAAGGTACATGACAAAGTCCTCATTACTTTTTCCCCAGCTTTTCTCAAACAAAAGGAGTCTTTAATTATAGCAAACATTGCTGTAAATCTGCTGGGTTACATCTTAAGCCAGCACTTCTCAGAGCCCAAGGCCCATAGCATATTAACTGGGTATCGATGTTGATTATTTTGGGCCCAGGGTCTCTTTAGTCAGGAGGTGATGAATCCTGCCAGGTATCTTCTTTGACTGGGAAGCCGCGAGTTCAATGTAAAGTCCGCCAGTCACTGTGCTCTCTCTGTACCAAGAGTCCTGATTTATCTATGCCTTGTGGCAACTACCACTGAGTGAAGTAGGAATGGTGCAAGCATTCCCTCAGCCACCCTAACTGGTCTCTCATTAGTGTTCCCCTAGCCCACAGCCTCTGAGTCCAGCTCAGCACTATGACTTGCTTAGGAATTGCTGTCTTTGTAGGCTTCAAGTTTACTTAGAGCTCCAGGGTACTCCAGCTGTCAGTGGTGAAGCTTGCCGGAACTCAAACTCTGAGTGATGAGATGGCAATTCCCCTCTGACTAGGGCTGGTCCAACTGTTTCCTCCATTGGAGGATATCAGTTGAGTACAGACCAGTTCTCTTTTCTCCTGTGACAGCGCAGAACTTAGTTCAAGGTGAAGCCTCACAATTGCTGCACTCTCCCTCTGCCAAGTGCACAGGTTCTCTGCACTGCACAGCTATTGCCATGGGATGGGAAACAAGTGATGTTGGTGATTCAAGATTGTCTTCCCCGCTCTTTTCAGTGTGTCTTTCAGTGATGTGAAGTTAAAACCAAGTACTGTGCTCGTTCACCTAATTTTTATTTCTTCTGATGGTGCTTTCTGTGTGAAGTTGTTAAAATTTGGTGTTTGGAGGGGGAGCAGGGCAAATGATGTAGGCTACTATTCATTTATCTTTCTCTGCCTCTCTTTCTTTTATTTTAACCTTAAATCGTAACCTAGGAAATTCACAGCTGAAATTCTATATTCTATTATTTTCTTCCTTCTTGTTTCTATTTTTTTTTTTTTTTTTGAAGACAGAGTCTCACTCTGTTGCCCAGGCTGGAGTGCAGTGGTGCAATATTGGCTCACTGCAACCTCCACCTCTCAAGTTCAAGTCATTCTCATTCCTCAGCCTCCCGAGTAGCTGGGACTACAGGTGTGGGCCACAATGCCCAACTAACCTGTGTATTTTTAGTAGAGACGGGGTTTCCCGATGTTGGTCAGGCTGGTCTCGAACACCTGACCTCAGGTGATCCACCCACCTCGGCCTCCCAAAGTGTTGGAATTACAAGCGTGAGCCACTGCGTCCGGCATTCCTGTTTCTATTTCTACATCTCCATGTTCTTTCTCCAACTATCAGAGAGGCCATACTTCCAGCATGTGACAATCTTCTTTACTTCACATTGTCATCTTTTTGGTTCTGTGGTTTACTCTGGTAAAATTACAGCTTTGAGAATGTCAAGAAAGGCTTATAACTTAAGCTGAGCAATAACTTTTATGCACTTACAAGAATTTAGCATCATTTTCCTTCTTCATGGAAGGACTATTGATGAGAAAAACAAAAACAAACAACAATGTCTTCATTTGTACCATAAACTAGGTGGCTTATAAACAACAGAAATTAGTTTTTCACTGTTTTGGGGCCTTGGAATTTCAAGGTCAAGGGGACAGCAGATTTGCTGTCTGATAAGGGCCTGCTTTCTTGATCACAGAAGGGGCAAGGCAGCTCTTTGGGGGCTTCTTTTTTTATATAAGGGGACAAATTCCATTCATGAGGTTCCTGCTCTCATGATTTAATCATCTCCAAAAGGCCTCACTTCCTCACTTTGGGAATTAGATTTCAAGATTTTTGGGGAGACACAAAATTCATGCCAAATCAAACAGTAAGAATGACCAAAGTGGAGAAATACATCAGACCTTATCTCTATACCTATGTTTGTAAATCTATACAGTTTTATTTTATTTTCATTGACTCTTGTGATCTGTTTCTATATTTCTGAGCCAGACTGCCTTAGTCTAATTCTAGTTTTATCACTTGTAAGTATATGCTTTTCAACTAGTTAATAATCTCCCAATGCCTCAGTTTCCCATTTATAAAATGGAAATACTAATAGTATCTGCATCATAAGGTTGTTGGAAAGATTACCTGGGTTAATATATGTACCTACATGTAAAACTTTAGAGCAGTATCTAGCATATAGCCAGCACTAGATAAGAATCAACCTTTCAAATCTAAAATGTGTGTGTTTATATGTTTGTATTCATGTGCATCCTATGGTGATTAGTAATTGAGGAATTATTTAAAGATAACTTATACAAAATCACTGATTTTAAATCTAGTGTTTTCAATAGCAAAGACTTGGAACCAACCCTAATGTCCATCAATGATAGACTGGATAAAGAAAATTGGCACACATACACCATGGAATACTATGCAGCCATAAAAAAGAATAAGTTCATGTCCTTTGCAGGGACATGGATGAAGCTGGAAGCCATCATTCTCAGCAAACTAACACAGGAACAGAAAACCAGACACTGCATGTTCTCACTCATAAGTGGGAGCTGAACAATGAGAACATGGGCACAGGGAGGAGAACATCACACACTGGGGCCTGTTGGTGGGTGGGGGGCTAGGGGAGGGAGAGCATTAAGAGAAATACCTAATGTAGATGACGGGTTGATGGGTGCAGCAAACCACCATGGCACGTGTATACCTATGTAACAAACCTGCATGTTCTGCTCATGTATCCCAGAACTTAAGTATAATTTTAAAAAAAGAAAAAGAAAGAAAGAAAAAAATCATACAGTGACACTGGATTAAAAATATATATATATTTACTTAAAAATAAAAAAATAAAAAAATAAAATCTGGTGTTTTTACTTATTTATTTAAAATTACAATTGTAACTCCCAATTGGATAAGGGCACTTTTTCTGATTAAAAAAGTGAATACGTGTTTTCCCAGAAAGAGCAGGCACAACAAGGTTACATAGGCAGGAGTGGAAAAGGAGGCACTTTATATAGAATTAGTAAGTGGGGTGCCTTGAAGTCATGCTTTCTAGAGGACAGGCAGATAGGAATTAACTAATTTTAAAAATATTGTGCATACTGCTAGTTATCATAGAAGAACAAGTTCAAACAATGATATCTCAAGTATCAGCTTATCACTATAACATTAAGGAATCAAAGTACAGAAGAAAACAGAAGGACAAAATCTGTTCTAGTTCAGAAATATAACCTAGGGATTTGATCATGTTTTCTTATGTAACAACTAATAATTTTTGTAACACTAACTGAGGATTTTGCAAAATTCAGTACTATGATATTGTAAAAATAGCTTGATTATTTATAACTGTGATTATATTCACTTGAATGAATACCTCGTTTTAGATATTTCCTTTTTAATTAGAGAGTAAACAATGCAAAACAAAAATCATCAAATTTGGTTGTATGTGGAATTAAAAATACCTTATACTTGAGAGAACACAGTAGCTAAAATTAATCTCCTTGCTAATTTTAAAAATAAATTATATTCAAATTAAATTCAAATGTCCTATATTGGGTATGGCTTTTAATGGAGGCATTACTTTCGGATGTCCAGACCATAAATATTTTCTTTAAAAACTTTTAATCAACCCTGAGATACCAAGAAGAATAAAATTTAATTTTTTCTGTGACAAACTGAATTACAGATGTGTTTATTTGCATTAGCAGATGATAAGAAAAAATAGCTTTCAACACCTTGGAAAACACAAGTATAGTTACAAGTGCCCCAAATAAATAAATTAAAGAAAAAGCATTTCAAAAACAACGTGAATTATAATGAAGAGACAGGAATATTGAGTGAATTCAAGATGTGGACCCAGAAAATCTGAGACAGGTCTCTGTTAATTTAGAAAGTTTATTTTGTGAAGGTTGAAGACACACGCCCATGATACAGCCTCAGGAGGTCCTGATGACATGTGCCCAAGGTGGTCAGAGAACAGCTTGGTTTTTTACATTTTAGGTAGACATGAGACATCAATCAATATATGTAAAAACCACATTGGTTCTGTCTGGAAAGGCGGGATAACTTAAAGCAAAGGCAGGGAAACTTGAAGTGGGGAGGGGGCTTCCAGGTCACAGGTAGGTGAGAGGCAAAAGTTGCATTCTTTTGGAATTTCGGATTAGCCTTTCCAAAGGAGGCAATCAGATATGCATTTATCTCAGTGAGCAAAGGGATAACTTTGAATAGAATGGGAGGCAGGTTTGCCCTAAGCAGTTCCAAGCTTGAATTTTCCCTTTAGCTTTGTTATTGTGGGAGTCCAAGATATTTTCCTTTCACAAAAATAACGTTGTGCAAAATGTCTTTCAGAAACAATATGGGTTTTATATGTGTAAGTAAAAAAGAGCATATCGTATCAGAGATTATCTTTTGCCTTCATTAAATATTTCCAGTTGGAGATTTTCTTTACTTTGCCCCGCCTCTATATTTTCTGTCAACTCCTTCTGCCAGCCTCATGAATATCTGTGCTCCATATTCTAATTATACACTCTGCTCCAGGTGAAGCCCCTTATGCATATTATTGATGTCCATATTACTAAGATCAGTAATCGGTTTACCTAGAACTTATTTATACATTTATATCTACACTTTAATGAATTTTGTTCATTTACCCAGTTATGCTGTTTTCTTATGAACCATAAAGCTCAGAAATATGGAGCAAAGAAAAGATGATGGTAGAAATAAAAGTGCTTCCCCTGATAGGTATTTTGATTCCTCCTATCTTGTTCTTAGATCTGTCAGCAAGTGTTCCCTAAAATCTCCAACATTCAATACTCTCACAAGCTTATTTTAAACAGTCTTCACTTCTGACCTGTAAACAGAAAAAAAAATTGCGAGAGAAAAATAATTCTAAACATTCTCACTTTAAACATGCATTGTTGTTTCTCAGATGAAGTTCTTAGAATCATAATTTGCAGAAGAGTTTATCTTAAAACTTTAAGCTATCATATTGATCATATCTCATTAAAAACACATTTTCTTTCAAAGTCTTGAAATGCTAGCAAGCTTGTAGGTTCATATTTTACTTTATCTTATTCCCTTTGAACTCTCCCAAGTAATTTAATTTCTTAAATTCACCTTGAGCAAACTATTTTTTGCTATCTGCCAGAAAGCAGCTACCATAATCCAAGACCATGGTGGGCAATGTGATTTCTCTAAAGATAAATTCATTCTTATTATCTGATCACCTCTGGAGGATGAATTCCCCATGCTGTATGAATCTAGAATATTATTCATTAAACCTATTGAGCCTGCAACATGATCAAATACAGGTAGTACCTGTATAAAACCAGTGGAACTGTTGGAGTCAGGAAAATATAGTTCAGTTCACCACAGGATATTCCAATGACTATAAATTAATCAGCTTGCCTTTAGTACCTCCTCCAGATCCCAAGAGAGACAATACAAAGTAGGCAAAAATTGATTTGGGCCTAAGTTTAGAAATATCTCATTTTTGGTAGATTCAAACTTTGTAATGGTAGTTTAAAAAGACGTTTTCACAATTCCCGTATTTCTAAAATAATTTTAGACTTATCTGAATTTTTGTATTTAAATATCTAGAAGTTCAGAATTGAGGATTATTTGACTTAGGTTAAAATTTTTATTTATACCACCTATATAGTAGAGATAATTCAAAGCTTCTTGTCAGGGTTTTAGATTCCAAGCTTATGCTGCTGCTGACTCAGTGACCAGAGAGAGTTTCTTAAACTTTTCAGCCTCCATTTTCTCATGCATAAAATTAGTAGTATAGCAGGAGTGATACTTTAATTATTTAACAGCCAGTATTATAAAGGCACTGGCCAATCAACATAATTTCAATCAGAATAATACTAGCCAACAGGTGTAAATCAGGTTAAGTCAGCTGGCTTTATAAATTGTATTCAAAAGGAAGTCATTATACTAAGGCTAGAAATGAAGTTTCATCTCCTATGACATATTTTACTTATTGTGAATGGCTTCTTAAAATAGTATGTTGAGAGGAACAGTGAAGTCATATTTGGCTTCTGAGGAGAGATATTGCTCTGATAAATTAGCCACATTTTCCAGATGTATAGGAAAGTAAAGTGGTGTTTGTAGTGCTCTATTATAACATTTCTGGTGTTAAAAACTTGCTTAGAGGCTGCTTAATCTTAACACACAATTCTAGGTTATTTGAGTGGGCCCTTCTTGGAAAATCTTCAAAGTGAGCAAGACCCACAGATGCCTGCAGCAAGAGATTATGGGTGGAGACTTGGAATAGATGATCTAAGGCCCAAGAGGAGGCTGAGGTAAAACACTTTAGAAGATTAAGACATTTAAAAGTAGCCATGTATATAGAGAATCAAAAAGCCACACACAGGCCAGTAAAGATGTATACTTAGAAAATGTCTGAGAGACCTTAATCATTCCAATTTGGCTAATCACAAGACATATGTGATGGGTGATATTATGTGTCAAATTGACTGGGTTATGACGTGCCCAAATAACTTCTTAAACATTATTTTTGAGCATATCTCTAAGGGTGCTTCTGGAAGAGATTAGCATTTGAATTGGTGATGTGAGTAAAGAAGATTGCCATCACTAACATAGGTGGCATTATCTAATTCTTGAGAGCCTTAATAGAACAAAAAGGCAAAGTAAGCTTGAATTCACTCTCTGTCTGACTGCTTGCTCTGGGACATCAATATCCTCCTGCCCTTGGTGCTCCTAATTCTCAGGTCTTCAAATTTGGACCAGAATCTACACCATTGGCTCTCTGGCTCTCAGGCCTTCAAAGTGCACCACCAACATTCCTGGGTTGCCAGCTTGCATGTGGCAGATTGCAGGACTTCTTGGTCTCCATAATTCTGTAAGCCAATAATTTTGTAAGCCATAATACTGTAAGCCAATATCTTATAAATTTTGCGTGTGTGTGTGTGTGTGTGTGTATCTCCTAATGGTCCTGTTTTTTTTGGACAACCTGATCTAACACAGCCTAGAACATGCCCAGCTAATTAGTGAAGGATATTTTCCAGGCACAGAGCCAGTTCAAAAAGACTAGGAGAGGTGACTGATTTTTTAAAAAAATGCCCAACTTTCAACAAAATATATCCACAGGCATACACAGAAACATAAACATGCCCTGTTCAAAGGAAGAAAATAAAATAGCAGAAATCTTTTCTGAAAAATAGACACACATCTGACTTACCAGCCAAAAAAACATAAAACAATTATAAATATAATCAAAGAGCTAATAAAAAACATAAACAAAGGACTAAGGAAAACCAGGAAAATAATCTATAAATGAGAATACCAATAAGAAATATAAATTATGAAGAGGAACCACACAAAAATTTTGAAGATAAAAATATAACACCATATTTAAAAATTTCCCTGAGAGAATGAGCAGCAGGCTCAAACAGGTTAAAGAAATAATTAATGAAATAAAAGATAAGATATTTGATAATTTCCTGTCTGAGGATCAAAAGGAAAATTAAGGATGAAGAAATGTGAACAGAGCCTAAAAAAATATAGAACACCATTAAGCAAAACAATATTTGCACTATGGGAGTTCTAGGAAAATATAGACAGAGAAAGGGGAAGAGTGCTTATTTTAAGAAAGAATGGCCCAAAATTTTGCATATTTGAGGAAAGACATAAAGCATCAAATCCAAGAAGCTAAACAAACTCTATGTAAGTAAACCCATAAAGACCCACAATAAGATACATGATAATCAAACTATCAAAAGGCAAAAACAAAGGAAAAATATTAAAGCAGCAAGAGGAAAGGGACTTATATACAATGGGTATATATTTTTCAATAAAAGATGCAGCAGATTTCTCAGTAGAAACATTGGAGAACAGAGACAATGGAATGATGCATTTAAAGTATGGAAGAAAAAAACTGTCTAATGAGATATTTTATATTTGACAAAATTGCCCTTCAAATTGAAGAAAATTTAGACATTCTCATGTAAACCAAAACTGAAAAATGCTATTTTCACTAGACCTTCCTTACATGAATTGCTAAAGAAAGTCTCTCAGGTTGAAATAAAATGATGCTAGATAATAAATTAAAGATTTATGAAAATATAAATATCTTCACCAAAGGTAAATACATGAGTAAATACAAAAACCAGTATTGTTGTAATTTTTATTTGTAACTTCACTTTTTATTTTATATAGGATAAATAAAAAATTATAAACACATGTTGGTGGGCACAGAATATATTAAAAATACCATTTGTGGAATCAATACCATAGAATGAGGGTAGACAGAACTGTAAATAAGAAGAGTGCAGCAAAAGCATTGCTAAGGGAAAAATTTATACCTGTAAATAATTGCATTAAATCAAAGAAGAAAGATCTGAAATCAACAACATAACTTCATATGTTAAGGAACTACAAAAAGAAGAAGAAACTAAACCCAAAAGTAGTAGAAAAAATACATAATAAAGATAGCAGAGGAATTAAAAAGAGAAAATAGAAAAACAATATAGAAAAATCTTTGTATCCAAAAGTTTGTTCCTCAAAAACATAAACAAAGTTGTGAAACATTTAGGTAAGTTAACTAATAAGAAAAGAGATTTTTCAAGCTACTAAAATGAGCATTGAAAGTGGGTACATTACTACTGACTTCATAAAATAAATGGAATAAATAAAATAAAGATTTAGTAAATATAAGGCTTAAAATAATGTTCTATGAACAATGGTATGCCAACAAACTGAATAATCTAAATGAAATGGACAAATTCCTAGATACACATAACTTATCAAAACAATAAAGAATAAAAATGTACATATATTGATAATTCATAATCAAAAACCTCACAGCAAGAAAAGTCCTAGACAAAATGGCTTCACTGATGAATTCTACTGAACATTTACATAAGAATGAACATGACTCTGGCTCAAACTCTGAAAAATTTGGAGAGAAGAATACACTTTCAAATTCATTATATGAGACCAGCATTACCCAGATATCAAAGCCAGCCGAGGACGCACACACACACACAAAAATGTTTGCACAGGATATGCTACATTGCTGCCCCACTGCTGCTGACATATGTGCATGAAAACAGACCTCACTGCTACTGCGCCTATAAAG
The DNA here is from genome assembly GCF_000001405.40 of Homo sapiens. Classification (NCBI taxonomy): domain Eukaryota; kingdom Metazoa; phylum Chordata; class Mammalia; order Primates; family Hominidae; genus Homo; species Homo sapiens. The sequence goes on from NC_000023.11 coordinate 90,912,421, forward strand.
CACTTTCTTTGGCACCTCCAATTTGAGTGTCATGGCCAGTGGACTGGGAACACCTTGGCCCCTCCAGCTTAGCACATGGTTAACCTCAAGGGGTAAGAGAACAAAGCAGTAGGTCTGGTCCCAGCTCTTCAGGGATGGAGCATGCAGCCCAGCGGTGCTGAGCTGAGCCTGGGCCCCATGAAATTATCTAGAAATGAAGCCACCTGACTGAACCCAACTTATATCACAGTCAAACACTGAAGGGCATAAAGTAATATAAAAGCTAAAAGCCCCATTCAGAAGACAGCGACTTCAAAAATTAAAGGAACATTCATACAGAACCAGTACAAGATCTCTGGCAACTAAAAAAGCCATTGTCTTTTACCTCCAAATGACTGAACTAGCACCCCAGCAATGGTTCTTAACCAGCCTTAAGTGGCTTAAATGTCAGACATAGGAATTGGAATCTCTATGGCAATGAAGATCATAGAGATTTAGGATTAAGTTGAAATCCAATCCAAGGAATCCAGGAAAATAATACAAAAACTCACAGACAAAAAAGTCATTTTAAGAAAGAACCAAGCTGATCTTCTAGAACTGAAAAACTCACTACAATAATTTCATATTACAATTGAAAGTATTAACAGCAGAATAGGTAAAGCAGAGGAAAGAATCTCACAGTTTGAAGAGTGGGTATTTGAATCAACTAAGTCATATAAAAATAAAGAAAAAAAATAAAAAAGAATCAGAAAATTTTCTGATAAATATAGGATTAAGTAGAGACCAAAGCTATGACACATTGGCAACACTGAAAGAGAGTGAAAGCAAGCAACTTGCAAAGCATATTTGAAGATGTTGTGCATAAAAAATTTTCCAACCTCACCAGAGAGGTCAAATTTTAAACAAAATTTCAGAGAATCTTGTGAGATCCTATAAAGAACAACCATCTCAAAGACACACAGTAATCACTTTAACCAAAGGTCAATGCAAAAGAAAAATATTAAAGTAAACTAGTATTATTTTAGAAAATGTCTGTTTGTCCTTTGCCCACTTTGTTATGGGTTTTTTTTTTTTTTCTTGTAAATTTGTTTAAGGTCCTCATAGATGCTGGATATTAGATCTTTGTTGGATGCATAGTTTGCAAAAATAATTATCTCATTCTATATGCTGTTTACTCTGTTGATAGTTTTCATTTGCTGTGCAGAAGCTCTTTAGTTTAATTAGATCTAATTTTTAAATTTCTGTTTTTGTTGCAATTGCTTTTGGTGTCTTCATCATGAAATTCCTGCCTGTGCCTATGTCCTGAATGGTATTGACTAGGTTGTCTTACATGGTTTTTATAGTTTAGAGTTTTACATTTAAGTCTTTAAGCCATTTGAGTTAATTTTTGCATATGGTGTAAGGAAGAGGTCCAGTTTCAATCTTCACCATATGGCTAGCCAGTTATCCCAGCACTATTTGTTTAATAGAAAATATTTTCCTTTTTTTGGTCAGGTTTGTTGAAGATCAGATAGTTGTAGGGGTGTGGTATTATTTCTGGGCTCTCTATTCTGTTCTATTGTCCTATATGTGTCTTCTTGTACCAGTACCATGTTGTTTTGGTTACTGTAGCCTTGTAGCATAATTTTAAGTAAGGTAGTGTGTCCGAAATTGGTGGGTTCTTGGTCTCACTGACTTCAAGAATGAAGCCGCAGACCCTCGCGGGTGAGTGTTACAGTTCTTAAAGATGGTGTGTCTGGAATTTGTTCCTTCTGATGTTCGGACATGTTCAGAGTTTCTTCCTTCTGGTGGGTTCATGGTCTCGCTGGCTTCAGGAGTGAAGCTGCAGACCTTCACGTTGAGTGTTACATCTCTTAAGGCGGCACATCTGGAATTGTTTGTTCATCCCGTCTGGAGTTGTTCATTCCTCCCAGTGGGTTTGTGGTCTCACTGGCCTCAGGAGTGAAGCTGCAGACCTTAGCAGTGAGTGTTACAGTTCATAAAGGCAGTGCCGACCCAAAGAGTGAGCAGCAGCAAGATTTATTGCAAAGAGCGAAAGAACCAATCTTCCACAGTGTGGAAGAGGACCCCAGCGGGTTGCCGCTGCTGGTTTGCGCAGCCTGCTTTTATTCCCTTATCTGACCCCACCAACATCCTGCTGATTGGTCCATTTTACAGAGAGATGATTGGCCCATTTTACAGAGAGCTGATTGGTCCATTTTGACAGGGTGCTGATTGGTGCATTTACGAACCTTGAGCTAGACACAGAGTGCTGATTGGTGCATTTACAATCCTTTTGCTAGACACTAAAGGTTTCCAAGTCCCCACTAGATTAGCTAGACATAGAGCACTGATTGGTGCATTTACAAACCTTTAGGTAGACACAGAGTGCTGATTGGTGCATTTACAATCTCTTAGCTAGACACAGAGTGCTGATTGGTGCATTTACAATCTTCTAGCTAGACATAAAAGTTCTCCAAGTCCCCACCCGACTCAGGAGCCCAGCTGGCTTCACCTAGTGGATCCCTTGCTGGGGCCGTGGGCGGAGCTGCCCGCCAGCTCCTGCACTCCTCAGCCCTTGGGCGGTTGATGAGACAGGGTGCTGCAGAGCAGGGTTGGAACCCTTCAGGGAAGCTCGGGCCACGGGGCAGAGAGGGGCCAGAAGCTGCGGAGGGTGCGCTAGAATTCTCGCTGGGCCTCAGCTGCCTCCCCGTGGGGCAGGGCTCACGACCTGCAGCCTGCCATGCCTGAGCCCCCCCTCCACGGACACAAAGAAGGGAACAACAGACACTACAATATGGCCATTTAATAAAAACTTTGGGACTTGAAAAGTAAATCATATGTAACATTTAATATTGATCCTGAAATGAAATTTCTTCCATCAAATATTAAAAGATAATATTTTACCATGTTGAATATTTAAATAAGTAAATATGTTAAAATTATTTTATTTCACAAAACCACACAAGAAACCACTGGAATGGATTTAAGTGTATTACATACAGTGTTCTTTGACATGTATATATCTATTTCTATAAATAGTGTTTTACTAGTCATTGAAAAAGTAAAAAAAAAACTGTTTTGCGTCATTTAGTAATTAAAAATTGTATTTTCAAAATAATTTGAGTAATTATGTCCCATTTGTCTGAATTGATTGGATAATATGAAATATTGGCTATAGAATGGGAAAATGGTAGAATACTCTCTTATTTAATATCTCCATTTTAGGTAACAGTAAGCTGATATTTCTAAATGCTTCTATTTCACTTAAAATTTTAAGCCATATATGCCAACAAAAAACAACCAATTATTGGTTATTATTACCTATGTGAAAGAAAAATAAATCTTGGGACCCCAAAATCACTAAGCTAAAGGGAAAAGTCAAGCTGGGAACTTCTTAGGGCAAACCTGCCTCCCATTCTATTCAAAGTCATTCCTCTGCTCACTGAGATAAATGCATATCTGATTACTTCCTTTGGGAAGAGTAATCAGAAACTTAAAATAATGCCACTTGTGTCTCTTATCTACCTTGGATGCCTCCTCCCCACTTGGAGTTGTCCTGCCTTTATGGATGGAAGCAATGTACATCTTACATATATTGAATGATGTCTCCTATCTCCCTAAAATGTATAAAACCAAGTTGCGCTTTGACCATCTTGAGCACATGTCGTCAGCACCTCCTGAGGTTGTGTTGTGGGCACTCATCCTTAACTTTGGCAAAACAAACTTCTTAAACTTCTGAAATTGACTGAGACCTGTCTCAGGTATTTAGGGTTCACACCTAATTATGTAAGTTTGCAGTGCTGAATTAACTCAGCTTGGCATAGAATTGCATTAACTTATTTTCCAACATCTACCTACGGTACTGCCAAACACTTCCTTTAGAAATTGCTTACACTGTTGAGAAATGGATGCTACTGGTGTGGATTATTCTCTGGGACACACTGCTGAGTTTCTTCCAGCACAATGAAGGGAGCTTTCACAAGTCAGGTTCTCCAGCCATAACTCAAAAAATTGTCACCCATGATAGTAAATGTGCTAGTTACCTAGGGGGAGGAAAAAAAAACAAAAAACTTGTAATAGCATGAGAACTGCTGATATAGTACAGAGTAGTATGATTACCCTTTGTATAGTGAAACTGAAGTATTTTCTTCTATTACTAACCCCCTACATCTCACTAGTCACACTTTTTAGGCCTTTTATATTTACACTACTATCCATGCCCTTTTTTCTATATTTTTCTTCCCAAATCACCTTATTAGCTTTAAATATCACATCTCTTAATGAAAGAAGGAAATATGGGATGAAGTACTTTACATTGATATCCTAGAAGGTTCTAGGTATATTTGTCATGTTACTATATTGATTAAAATCAGACAAACCTTGAATTGCTGTTTTGGAAATGAAAATAGGGTCAGAAAAGAAACCATCCCTTTGACAGGGCTCTGAAGTCAAGAAGAAGGTGAAGGAGCCTAATGAATTCCACAAGGCAAGTAAACTTTATTAATTGCTTCTAGAGATCAGCCCTACTAATCACATTGCCTGTTTCTATAAAGTTAACGAATCAAGTTGACCTTTTATCGCATTCTCTACAGTTCTCTACTGCTGTTCTGCAAACATTTTGCATATGGTACATGACACTGTGGCCTGAGAGCAACAATGTAAGTATATATCTATGAGCACAGCAGTTCTGTGTAGTAAGCAACTGAGCAAGCATTTCAGCAATGATCTGAAAATGTAGATAATATCTGACAATTCCAGCAGATGGCCACCATTAATGGGTAGCTATTATCTCATTTGTAAAATCAGAGCAGTAGAATTGATTCTATCCATTTATAAAACTAGTAGTTTCTTTCACAATTTGTGTATGCATTGACTTCCAGTAATACTTGTACTTAGCAATGCCAGTATTATTTGCATAATTTTTAAAAAGTCTGCTTGAAGATTATGTTTAAAATTCAAAAATATAAAAAATGTATGATCTCAAAATAATAAGTTTGCTTTTTTTCCACTTCAATTTTTGGTCCCACTTCTCAGGGTTACTCCAAATTAATTAATATACACATGTTTGAAGATTTTACTTCAAATGCAGAAAATTGCTACGGCATATTGTATTTTTCAAAAATTGTCACATCATTTAGATCAGAGATCCATTCTCTTATGTTCTTCTAGAATTTTGCTACTCTTCATTAAGGGGTATAATATACTTCCCCTTCCCTTTAACCTAGGCAAGCCTATGCTTTTGCCTCAAAAAATATAATGTGATGGAAGTCATACTGCTTTGACCTCCAATACAATTATAAAATGCATTATGGTTTCTATCTTCCTCTTTATTTTGGAATGATAGTCCTTGTCACCCACTCACCATGTGGTGAGGAAGCCCAGGTAACATAGAATAGACATAGGTCTCAACCAGCAGCACACATCAACTACTAAACATATGAATACACAAGCCTTTAGATAAATCCAGCCCCCAAATCCATACTTTAAATCATTCCACCTTATGCCAAGTAGAGCAGAGATGAGCTAATCTCAGTCACATGCTGCACAAATTGCAAATATTTGAGCACTATAATCTTGTTTTAAGCCACTAAGATTTTGAGTTATTTGTTACTCAGGAATAGTATCTGGAATATTTGCCAATTCTAAGATAGCATCCCTGGTATCTCTTCTTCTTCTTATAAGGACATCAGCCATATTGGATTAAGGCCCCATTTAACTTTAACTCTTTAAATGCTACATCTCCAAATACACTCATATTGTGGATTAGAGTTTCAACATATGAATTTGGGAGGGACGCAATTCCGTCCATAACTATGTGCATGTGTATATATGTAAATATATGTCAAATATACACATATATATTAAAATTTTATCTGACTGCATACTTAAGATATGTTTTTCATTGTATGTCAGTTAAACTTCAATAAATTGAAAAATTGTGGCATAAAGTTATTTTTATATGCATCTTTGTGAAATTTACTCTCTTCATGAAATAATAGTTTTATTATTTTCCTGTTCCATCTTGGACTCTACTACTTTTTAAGTAAATTGTAACTAATCAGCCCAAATATATATAGACTCTCCAAAACAATAAATGAATCTATAAGTTCCAATGTATAATTTCTCTCCTTCTGAAAGCATCTCAATTAAACTAACTTATTTGATGCAGAGTAAAATATTGTTCATTTTCTTCATGATTTGGCCACTGTTGTTTAAGCATGTTTGATTTCCTTTTTCCTGGCATAGTCTGCCTATTAATGGCAAGTATGATCATATCCAGCCTAGCTGCCTGCCCCAGGTATAAAAGCTACCATGAATCTCAGTTTACACACCAAGGGCTTGTTTCTTTCTGGGATTCAGTTCATCAAGACATTGTTAAATTCACCACTCTTCGTTAGCCCTATGGGGTAAGTTTTAATTTGTCTGGTTTTTCATGTGTGAACCCAAGATAAAAGATCTTTTCTATCCTATCTAAATCCCAACCATAAGAAAAACTCTTAGCAGTTAAATTTAATAGTATGATGTGTTTGCAAATTGTAGGAATTACATTTATTGGATTTTCTCTTGGCAAAGTACAAGAAAATCTAAGACAGGACAGGGACCTATAACAATGTGCAAGACTACATCAATTTTGAGTAGTGTGTCTTTTAGTTATACAATGAAACTTCAAATGATAGATAAAATTGCAAATATGGTATCCATTTTAAGGTATTTTGTTTTGGCTTGAATAAAAATAATTTTATGTAGATATTTTATTTTTTAATTATAAAGATGTTTTATAAAAATTATATAATCAGCATGATGTAGAGACACTTTTTCATGTAACTACATTAGTAAAGTCTAGAGGAGCTGGCTGATAGATAATCTGTTTTCTATCAGGAATATTCTGTCAATGATCACACAATTTCAGCATTAAAATTAGACGAACCACATGGGTTTGAAATGTCTTGAAATTGAAAAATATAATAGAGGCTCTGTTAAATTACCGGTATGTAAATTTCAGGATATACTATGTCATAATTTGTTTTGCTCCCACATTATAGAATAATCATTATTGTTGCCTGCATAAGTTGAAAGAAATAGAATCTTGTAAATATTGACTCGTTAAAGTAAAGAATTATAAATTTTCAGGTGTGCCTTATTCTGACATAGAAAGAATCAATATATACTCAATAATTATATCCAATATATGCAAAGAAATGCAAGTAGACATGGAAAGATTTTGAAGTTTGACAATCTCTGATATAAAGCCCTTATGAAAGTTCATGATTTCCTATAGTGTCTGTGATAGGAAAGGAAAATAAAGGCTACTGAAGATCAATTCCTGATGAATGCAATGTATCTACCAATGTCAACTATCTTCTACATGTCAAAGACAAAGGACAGGAATATGAAGTACCTTTAAACTACATCTATAATCCCCAACTATTTATATATTTGTGGCATGCTACAGGCTTTGATACGTGGCTGGCTGATGTTTACATAAGGGGAAGAAATGCCATAAATTTTTAATATGTAAGTCTCTACCATTGTTATATCACTTCATTGTAATTTCAAAATAATCAAATTATTGATGGCCCTACCCAAAGTCAATGACTTTTTTCTTTTTTTTTTTTGAGACAGGGTCGTATTACGTTGCCTAGGCTAGAGTGCAGTGGCACAGTCCTGGCTTATTGTAGCACAGGCTTCCCAGGATCAGGTGATCCTCTCACCTCAGCCTCCCAAGTGGCTGGAACTACAGACGCATGCCACCACACCTGGCTAATTTTAATTTTTTTTTTTTTTTTTTTTTGTAGAGACGGGGTCTTGCTATGTTGCCTAGGCTGGCCTCAAACTCCTGGACTCACGTGATCCTCCTGCTTCAGCCTCCCAAGTGCTGGGATTACAGGTGTAAGCCGTTGCACTCGAACCACTACTCCATTCTTTATTAAAAGAACTTCAAGTTTATTTAGGCTGTAAATGAGTCCAAATAGAAATACCTAATTTCCCAGCCTCCCTTGAAGCTGCAGTGAATTTGTGACACAATTCTAGCCAATGAGATATAGGCAGGAATTTCTGGGGAGGAAATCCATTTTTAATAAAAAGGCAACATGTCTCTAGGAAGAATCTCTTCATCATTTCACCTTTTGCCCTTTTGCCTGTCTAACTGGTTTTAAAGCCAGCAGGTCTTATATGACTACTGGATACCCTTGAGCATGAAAGCCTTTACACTCTAAGATAAGCAGAATTGAAAGTTGGAAAGATCTTGGCTCCCTGTTGGCATTGGTGAATCTCATTAACAACCCTGAACTTCCTGCCACTGGGCTTCTTTTCATGTCATAAAAATAAATTCTTCTCTGTTTAGCTGTATTCTTTGAGTTTGCTATTACTCATAACTGAACATATCCTGACCTGATGGCAGAAGAAGTGAAATTTTATAAATCAAAGCTGTTCTTTTGTGGATGTGGTTTATGAATTGTAAGATTAAAAAAGAAAACCCTGTTAAGGAGTTGTTTATTGTAAAGTTCTGAGGACTCATGTATAAACTCTCCTGGACATCATTAAGACTTCATATTTGGTACAGATATATTTTAAGGAATGGTCTGTTTATAACTGTTAAGAGAGGACAATAGGGTTGCAAGTTGTTTAAAAATATGAGGGAAGCATTGGAAATTTTAGGTATTGACATTTTCAATTTAATTTAATTAATGAGTCATGAGAAACAGAAATTGCTTTATGAGCTCAAAATAGGTATGTAGCAAAAAGCAAAAAATATCTTCTTGTGGTGCATTCAAAGTAGAATCTCATTTGTTGGATGGGATCTCTGTAAAAAACAGCATAGCACAAAATGGGGAAAGGGAACCTAGTATTGCAATTAATTGGTGCAATTTAATTGCACCAATAATGGGTGCAATTAAAAATGTAATGAACCTTTTCAAGGGCTTTTGTTTATGGTATGAACATAAATACCTATGCTTTAGAAATTACATGAAAACCTTTGAAATTATCTTAAAAACTGGGTGATATAGAGGACTTATCTATGTTGTTGATTCAGGAAAGTTCAGAAAGCTCAGTAAACAGTCTGATGTTCTTGATAAGAGCAAGAGAACATCAGCGGTCACACATGCCATCTTTTATATGGAATATGCAACCTAGACCTAAAAGTGCCTGAGAGCAAGAAGTGTATAATTGTGATCTACAGTACATATTATGTGGCAGGTATATGTAGAAGGACAGGACAACTCATATTGAAATTGCTATGTCAGTAATATATGAACAAGTTCCTTATATGGTACCAGATTCTAGCAAATATATCATCAAATATCAGATTTGTTCATTTTGTCCATGAATATGCAGCATAGGTCAGAAACAGCTTTTGACTACAAAGAGTTCCTTCTTGAATCTGTTTATTACTTTTCCTTGCTGGAGGCCCTGTTATGTGGTAGATGTGTGTATAAGGACAGGCAAAGTTATGGTGAATTTGCTGTGTCTAAAGCATTTGCCTATGAAGCATAGACATTTAAATGTAATTTGAATAAAACATTTCTAAAGAGGCTGATTTGGTTAATCAAAGCAACTCTTTTTAAGGAATTTTGTATATCTTCAGTTGAAGAGTCTTCTTTAAATGGTTGGCTAATATAAAATATTTAGAATCTTTCTGTGAAACTTAAATTTCTGTAATAAGATAAAAAATCTTTGGGATTCTCTCAAGTTCCCAAGATGGAAAAAGTATTAATAAGTTTAAAGGGATGCCAGGTTTTTAGATAAAGTCTGAAGAGAAGTTACATAGAAAAAAATGTTCAAAGCAATGAAAATGTTCTTTAAACATGATGTGTATGTGTGTGTGTGTGGTGTGTGGTGTGTGTGTGCATGCACAGATGTGTATGTGGGAGTGTGTATGTTCAAGTTAGAATGGTTTCCACTGTTGGTGAAATGGGTCCATAATTTGTAGGGATTTTATTCATTGTATGTGTCCTCTACAAAAGGCAACTATTCCAGAATGGGGGCAGAGATTTATAAGCTTACTTAGGATGGCATTCAATACATAATTTGTTGTTTAGCAGCATGAGAAGAGTTTGGTGACTACTTGATCATAAAGTAATAACCTCCTTCTAGTAGATTGTGCTTTCTGAGCAAAACAAAACTCTTTTATGATGAAACTAGTCTTAGATAATGATCAGTTTTTAAATGGAAAATACCATGAAATAAAAATGAAAATTGTAAAAAGTAAAGTAGAGGTTCCTCTTCAAAGACTTTCCTCCCTGTCTAATTAGGAATAAATAGTAACTTCTCTTAGAAGCAAAATGTATTCAAATACCTGTGCTAACATTCTGAAATATCTGCTAGCCGTCATAAAGAAATCAATGTACTTTATGTTCTTAGCTCCCACAATTTAGCCTAAATATTTGCCCTGGCATGCTTATACTGGTCCAAGCAAGCATTAGGTCATAGCCTGTTCCTCTTCCTTACTTAAAAGTGCTTTTACCCTTCTCAGCATTCCACAAGTTACTTCCTCCTTCCTTTGTTCTCCTCTCCTTTTGCCTCTTTTAAAAAGTTCTAAGTTGCTAGCCAGTTGGGACAAACACAGAATGTGAGGTCTCTTTCCAGCCAATGGAAACCGGACACAGCAGTAGGGTGGACGCGTCAGGTTATAAATGACCCTGTCTCCTTTGTTCAGTGTACTGTCATGGCGAAACTTCTGGCAAGTGTACCCTTTCTGCAGGAAGTAAAAATAGCCTTACTAAATAAATTAAATTTATGTTCAAGTGCTATTTTTTTAAGGGCACGGAAGAAGCATTTCAAACAAAAATGAAATGTTTAAGTGAAATTGTTGAAGTCCCTTTGAAAGTAATCCTGCATAATCTCTTTCCTTAAAAGGTTAACCCAAGGGAACTTTCAGATCTCCGTAAGCTTAAGTTCCAATTTTGTTTGTACTTGTGTACCATATTGGAGCCCTGCTAAATAACTAGTTATGTATAATTGTAGGAGCTACTATTGTTAATTTGATAAAATGTGAATGAAATACATTTATGGGAATTGTGATATGTTAAGTCATATAATTTCAAATTGAAAGAGCCTAGAATGTGATGTCTATTTCCTTTGTTCAATCAATCAGCTTAAAGGGAATGAAGACTATTTGAGATTCAGAGATCACATCTTTGGTCAGCTATGTGCACATGTAGGAATACCCTTCCTATCTTAGTGGGTAAGTCTGTGAGTTATGGAGAAAGCTTATACTGAGTGAACCCTGTAAAGGAAAGGAGACCACAAGCAGGGGCAAGGTTCTGTTAGGTTACACGGTAACACATTGAGAAAAGATGGCTTTATTTTAGCTGCATGGAGTAACTTGAAAGGACTGATGTCAATGAAAATTGTAAAGGCCTCCCTCAAGATGCTAGTGTCTTTTGTGTGAACTGTAGGACATTTATGGGGGAGGACACTAGTTTGATAAATTGTTGAGTAGAACTTTGAAAGAGTGTGGAGTTGGCAGGATGTTAAAGATGTCTCTATGGTGTCTGTGGATCGATAAGGCACAGAGGACCTGTCAAGAGTTTTGTGATCCTGCTGTGAGAACAGAAAAAGCCAAGGTCGGTTTCTTTGGCATGTAAAGGAACATGCAATAAAAACCTGAAGAGCCTGTATTCCAGAAGAAGACGTGGATAAAGTTATTATTGGCAAAGCCTTAAAAGCACCAAACATAAAGATAAACATTATTAGATTTGACTATGTTAAACTCAAGATATCTATTCTGCAAAAGATGCCATAATCAAAATTAAGAGAAAGATGGTTGAGTGGGAGAAGATATTTGCAATATTAATCACTGGCAAAGCATTAATAATCTCTAGAATATTACAAGGAACTCACTGAAAATTGGCAAAAATAAAGATCAAAGCATGAGATCATTTAAGTAAAGTAAAAAAAAAATGCTTATTTCCTAAAACACTGGTTTTTCTAGAGGTTTTTTCAATAGGTAAATAGTCTTATGGAGGGTAGATTGAAAGAACATGGTAAGAAAGAGAAAATGTTAATAGTAAATAGAAGAGTAATTCATGTATTAACGGTAGTACACTATGAAATGAAAAATGTAATTAACTTAATCTGAGATTCAAAGCAAACAATTATAACAAAGGAATGGACCAGCATTCTAACTTATGTTTTCATACTAGATTAAATGTTTTTATAAATGTCATGCTCTTATAAAGGTAAAAAATAACATAATATATGGCTTCTATATTCAAAATGGCAAGAATTCATTAGATATCTCAGGATCCATTCATTGGCATATATATTCAAGATGATACTTTGTCCACAATGAACTATACATAAAGGCAATTATACTTTTGAATTTTAACTAATGGAACATAATAGAGGTTCGATTGTCTATAAAGGAAGGATATGTTTAACTTTCAGATGGGGTTATGTTTGGAAATGGAAGTGGGAAAGTTGGTTATTTGAAATATTATAGTCTTCAATTCATGGCACACCATTTATCTCTTTTCCCATTTCCTTAACAAAAAAAGTCTAGAGATAATATAATAAATTGTTAGTCTTAACTCAGACAAATCTACTAGTGGCTGCTTTCTTTTCCACCTTGCAGATGGTCTATCATGGGACTTTGCCTTGTGATTGTGTGAGCCAATTCTCCCTATAAACTACCTTTCACATATACATATGTTCTATTAGTTCTGTCCCTCTGGACAATTGACTAATACAGATGCCAAGCTGAGAGCCAAGGGAAGTACAGCTTTTAACCAATAGAACATGACTGGGGTAAATAATATTTCAAATAATAAAAATGATGTTCCAAGGGCCTACAGTGAGAGAACCTATTGTGTCACAGATACTGAAAGCCTTATGTTTTAACGTGATTGGTGTAATTGCTATGTTGAAAATAGATAGTCAAGAGGGTCAAGAGTAAGCAACGGAAGAACAGTTAGGAGGCTCTTGAAGTTTTCTGTGTAAAATATGATGGTGGCTTGGGTTAGGGTGGTAACAGTGGAGGTAGTGACAAGTAATCAGATTTGTGACACACTTTGAAGGCTGAGCCCAATGGCCTTGAGAATGGACTGGATTTGGGGGATGAGAAAAAGAAAGGGGTCAAGGATCTTCTCAAATGTTTTGGCCTGAGAACCTGAATGAGTTAATAATATCATTTACTGAACTTTGACAACCTGTTAACAGAGCAAATTTAGAAGGAAATCAAAGATTTAGTTGCAGATAAGTTAAATTTAAAGTCACTTTTATATGTATAAGTGAAGCTTTTGGGTATCCGGTTGAATATTGTAATGTGAATTTCAAGGGCAGGGTCTGTTCTGGAAATATGAATTCAGGAATCATGAAGACAGGGTGTTTTGTAAACCATGGGGCTGAATTAGATGACCTAGTAAATGAATGTAGATAGAGAAGTCCTAGAACTCTGCCTTGGGACACTTAAACATTCAAAGCAGCAAGAGAAAGAGTATATAGCCAAGAAGAGTGAGAAAAGACAGCCAATGAGGTATGAGACAGAAAGTCAACTGAGAAACTATTTACAAATAGTTTTTATGATGTTAGGTCACTAGAATAGCCTCTTAGAACTACCGGGTTGTAATTGTTAGTACTTCAATTTTGACCAATAAACGTATATTACAGCCTATAAATTTGTGCATTTAATGATTAGCTAGGCAGAAAAACAACAACAAAAGTAGACAAAGATTATAAAAAATCTGTAAAACAATTTTAGGACATTTCTGGCAACATGCAAGTTAGCAATAAGTATGAAATTTCTGATGACATCCTTTCCAAAAGACACTGAAAAAAATAAGTAAATAATAAGTATGTGTATTAGGGTTTTCTAAAGGGACAGAACTAATAGGGTTTATGTATATATGAAAGGGAGTTTATTAAGGAGTATTGACTCACACAATCACAAGGTGAATCCCCGGGGCACTCTGCAGGCTAAGGAGCTAGGAAGCCAGTCTGAATCCCAGAACCTCAAAAGGAGGGAAGCTGACTGTGCAGCCTTCACCCTGGCAAATCACTGGTATAAGTCTGAGTCCAAAAGCTGAAGCACTTGGAGTCTGATGTTCGAGGGCAGGAAGCATCCAGCATGGGAGATAGATGAAGGCCAGAAGACTCAGCAAGTCTCTTTATTCCACTTTCTTCTGCCTGCTCTATTCTAGCCATACTGGCAGATGATTAGATGGTGCCCACCCAGATTGAGGGTGGGTCTGCCTCTTCCAGTCCACTGACTCAAATGTTAATCTCTTTTGGTAACACCCTCACAGAAATACCCAGGAACAATACTTTGCATCCTTCAATCCAATCAAGTTGACACTGAATATTAACCATCACAGTATGTAAGTAAAAAATAAATTTACAAAATATCAGGCAGTTAAAAAAGGTAGATACCAGATTTAGTCAGTAAAGTCACATCTTGCCTATGATTATGCACTTATAAATTTGTATATAAGGAGGAAATCTATTTCATAAAAGGTAAAAATATATGCAAAAGGAAATAGCATGATAGCATATTAGCCACCTAATTATTAAGATATTATAGAGTAATTATCAATCCATAAAAGGAAACCAGAGTTAGATAATATTTTCATTGAACAGGTAGTTATTAGAAATACATTTATAGAATTACGTAAATAGCTATGTGACTCAGAAAGTGACTAATGTTCCCAAATGATTTATCTTGTAATCTTTAAATTGATGCCCCTTTCAGCTATGTGATGCCAAATGCCAATTAGTTTACAGGAAATTATCAAAGCCTGAAATAAACAAATCTTCTTCTAAATATCATGTCACTTTGACTAATACATGGCTGAAATGTCAGAAAGCTCTAAGAAGCTGATATATTTGGACATATTAGAAAGTAGCAAATAAGGTTGAACTTGTAAACTTTAAATTTGGGAGGCAAAGACGAGAGGTTCACTTGAGGTCAGGAGTACGAGACCAGCTTGGTCAACATGGTGAAAACCCATCTCTATTAAAAATATGAAAATTAGCCTGGCATCGTGGTGGCTGCCTGTAATCCCAGCTACTCAGGAGGCTGAGGCAGGAGAGTTGCTTGAACCTGGGAGGTTCAAATAAGTAGCCAATAAGGTCTGCTCTACTCTCTCTGGCTCAAGGGAGGGAATTGGAAATTAGATAGCCACACCATGCTGGACAGGGTGTAGGACATGGTGGCCAGAAATGCAATGAAATTTCCTACTGTTTTTTAAAATGGCTTTTAAAAAAATGAGTATTTGCTTTGTTGCTGTAGACCTCTGATTGTTTCCCAGGCCTCCAATAAGGTAATTTAAACCATTTTATTTTCTTTTGTTTTGCTTTTGATGTCTTAATGGGGTCTTGGATCTTCCTTGTCTGTTGTTTTGCTGACAACGTTACTTATTAGGTTGATTTTAAACTAATGATGATAATAATGATCTTGACATTTATGGAGTGCAAATCCCATGTTTAATTGCCTTACAGGCATTATCTCATTTAATCTTCACAATATTATTAGTGTATTTTATTTTAAAAATCTTTCTGAAGCATGGAGAATTTAAGTAAACATCCTAAGTACACTTATATAGTAAGTGATAAAACCACAAATCTTATTTAAGCATTCCTGATACTGCACCCATTGTGCTAATGACTAGAAGATATTTCTCTTAAGGAAATGATAATCAAATTTACATGTAAAATATAATATATATACACAAGTTATTATCAGTGCACAGAAGAGCAAACAGTTAAATTTATTTTTTTCCAGAGTTAAAAAATGATATTTGTGCTGCTACACTTTATTCTAGAACCACAGAATCTCTCTCAACACAATAGTCTAGCCACATCTTCATCAGTCAATCAGAAATAATAGTTGGGTTATACACATTTTTCACCTTATAAAATATAACAATATTTATGATTTTTAGAGTCATTATAAATCTTTTATAAAATTCTGAAATACATGGAAGCTATAGCTAAACCAAATGGAAGTCTTTGGATTCCAGAACACTTGACATCAAGTCATGACTCTGCCACTTGCTAGTTGTATGGTTAGCAGCAAGATATTTTTTCTCTCTGATCTTTAATTTTCATATTTAAATTTGGCTAAGAGTACTTGCCTCTTAAAACTGTGTTGCTGGTATTACCAGAGTGTGGTATAATTAAAATATATATTTGCTTTTTGTCACCAGTTTCTCACACAGTACATCAAAAGCCCTTGCAATTTTCTGAGTGATAAAAGCATCTTTTGATATTCACAACAGGTCCCTTTTGACCGTACCTGAGTTTATGGGAACAAGGTAACTCATTGTGGGAACTTAGATAATATTTTCAAGGGAGGGACTGGCCATGCAGGTGATTAGAGGGTTGAAACTTTTAGCACCATCCACCAACCTCCAGGGATGGGAGGAGGGATGGTGATTGAGTTCAGAATTGAATATTCTCGATACAAAGAAATAATAAATATTTGAGTTTATGGATATGTGAATTACTCTAATTTGAACCAATTACCAATGATTTAATCAATCATGCCTATTTTACAAGGCCTTGATAAAAATCTTTTAACAATGAGTTTTGGAGAGATTCTGAATTGGTAAACACAATGGATGCATATGTGCTGGGAGAGTGGCATGCCAGAAGAAGTCATGAAAGTTTTCCCTTCGTCCCCATTTCCTTGTCCTGTGAATGTCTTCCTTTTGGCTATTCCTAGTTGGTTTTCTTTATAATAAAATTGCAATCACAAGTACAGCACTTTCCTGAGTTCTGTGAATAATTCTTTTTTTTTTCTTTTTTTTTTTTTTTTGAGACAGAGTCTCACTTTGTCGCCTAGGCTGGAGTGCAGTGACGCGATCTCCGCTCACTACAAACTCGCCTCCCAGGTTCAAGCAACTCTCCTGCCTCGGCCTCCTGAGTAGCTGGGATTACAGGCAGCCACCACCAGGCCAGGCTAACTTTCATATTTTTAGTAGAGATGGGTTTTCACCATGTTGATCAGGCTGGTCTCATACTGCTGACCTCAAGTGAACCTCTCGTCTTTGCCTCCCAAAGTGCTGGGATTATAGGAGTGAGCCACTGCGCCTGGCTTTCTGTGCCTAATTCTATCAGATAATTGAACTTGAGGAGAGATTCATGGGAACTCTCAAATCTGTAGTAAGCTAGGTAGAGTGCAGTTAACTTGGGGCTACTCAAGACTTGTGGCTGATGTCTGAGGTGGTGATCATTTTGTGGGACTGAGCCCTCAGCCTGTGGGTTCTCTATCGACCCTGGGCAGTTAGTATCAAAATTAAATTGATTTGCAGGATGCCTAGATGGTATTGGAGAGTTGAACAGTGCTTGAAAAAGCTTCATATACAGATAAAAATAATAAAGTGCTAAGTTGATTTTCTGGTAGATCATAGATGCTTAATAAATCATAGCTAATATCACCTTCAGATGATTTAGGAAGTAACCAATTATTTAAGCATTCCTATATGTCCTGAAATGGTCTGAGTAGCGGTGTTTTATCAAGAGTGTTATCTTATGCTATAAATAGATATATAATTTCAAAATGAAAAGACAGCCAAATAAAAATGTTCTCATTAAAATTAAACTGAATATAATTTGAAAATAATTATTGTACAGGGTACTGGATATAGACTTATATACAACTTCAGAAGGTAATTTAAAAACTATATTGTTAATAATAAATCGCTTAATTACCATTTCTTTATGGCTTATAGAAATAGAATATGAAAAATGTTTAATGTTTAATGTCTTAAAATGTTAAAAATGTTTAATGCTTTAAAATGTATAAATGTTTGGATTCTGAATAAATGAGAGTACACATTAAAATTTGAGTACATTCTTTAAAACAATTATTCTCAACCAAGAGTTAGGAGGAAGTTTGAAGCATATTATAATAATCTGGGATTTTTTTTTTTTCCAGTCCACAGCTCTTGGAGACTCTATTGTCTCCCAAAGTGGTGGAGTTCCTTTCATTATCACCTCCACCCATCATCCTACCTTCTATTCCTTTAGAGAATCACTGGCATTCTAAAGCTTTGTTACTGAAAGAAATACATTATATCTCTGACATATATAGAGGTGGTAAGGAAGCTGATAATTACTATGCCTGTGTTTGACATTCTATGACTTATAAATGAGGGAAACGAACCCTCAAGTACTTACAAGGTGTAGTCACAAGGAGAAAATATAATTACAATATATTTAAATATCAAGATTTAAGAAACAAGTACTTGTATATGTGAATATTTATGCATCTTTAATAAACGATCAACATGTTTTTCCTCCAATTGACATATTTAAATTATTTGAACTCATAAAGAAAATTACATCATATTTTCTGTTCCTTTAAATAATATTGCATAGTTCCACTGTAAGAATAAATATCACTAAACTTTTTTTTAGGTATATAAGAATAACTTACAGTAAATAAATTCTGGAAACCAACCTCTTTCATAGTAACATTTGAAAAGTAGAGGGCAAAGTTAGTATACGTTACCTGAAAACTTGTAGTTGTGAAATGTTTAAGTCTAGATATTGTCCATTAACAGTATTCGCTAGTTACTTCTTTTCCTGCTACATTTAATACTGCTGCTTCTGTTATAGTTTTTTTTTTACTTTTTTTTTTTTTTTTTTTTTTTGAGAACGAATCTCCCTCTGTTGCCCAGTCTGGAGTGTAGTGGCACGATCTCGGCTCACTGCAACCTCCACCTCCCAAGTTAAAGCAATTCTACTGCCTCAGCCTCCCGAGTAGCTGGGATTACAGGCATGCACCACTACGCCTGTCTAATTTTTGTATTTTTGGTAGAGATGGGGTTTCACCATGTTGGCCAGGCTGGTCTCGAACTCCTGACCTCAGGTGAGCTGCCTGCCTCAGCCGCCCAAAGTGCTGGGATTACTGGCATGAGCCACTGGACCCAGCCCTTTTTTCTTTTACTTTTATCCTTTAGTCCAAGCCAAACTGAAAAAAAGTCCAAACTGAATAGTACTTGATAATGTATCAAACTCTGTCTCAAAATTGTATATTATACCAACCCTGATACTGAGTTAATAAGAAAAACATGACCGGGAGTGGTGGCTCACACTTGTAATCCCAGCATTTTGGGAGGCCGAGGCAGGCAGATCATCTGAGGTCGGGAGTTCGAGACCAGCCTGACCAACATGGAGAAACCTCATCTCTACTAAAAATACAAAATTAGCCAGGCGTTGCGGCGCACGTCTGTGATCCCAGCTACTTGGGCGGGTGAGGCAGGAGAATTGCTTGAACCCAGGAGGCGGAGGTTGCGGTGAGCAGAGATCATGCCATTGCACTCCAGCCTGGGCAACGAGAGCGAAACTCCATCTCAAAAAAAAAAAAAATTGGTCATAAGGTATCATTATATTACTATTATAGCAAATTTATCAAATATTATGACTTTGTAGGAGATGTGTTGTGACTTTTGGCACAAAACAAATAAATGATTAATTATCATTGGAAAATAAATCATCTAGAGTTGTGTCTATTGTTCTTTAGAACATTTTTATAGCACCTTAAAAAACACCTTTTATTTTAGTTACAGTAGGTACATATTAAAAATATTTACATGAGTATATTGGGCCTGAAAAGTGAGCATAGTACCCAATAGGTACTTTTTCAACTCATGGCCCCCATCCCCCATGCCCCCAAGTATTCCATCATCTCTACTGCACTCATGTTATTGTACATGTTTGCTACATGTTTAGCTCACACTGTAAATGACAACATGCGGTATTCGGTTTTCTATTCCTGTGTTAATTTGCTTACAGTTATGGACTTCAGTTCCATTTGTGTTGCTGCAAAGAAAATAATTTCATACTTTTTTATGGCTATGTAGTATTCCATGGTATATATGTACCACATTTTCCTTATCAAGTACACCATTGATGGGCACTGAGGTTGATTCTATGTCTTTACTATTGTGAATAGCATGACAATGAACATACACGTGCATGTATCTTTATGGTATAATAATCTATTTTCTGGTCAGGCACGGTGCTTCATGCCTGTGATCCCAGCACTTTGGGAGGCCAAGGTTGGCAGATCATCTGAGGTCAGGAGTTCAAGACGAGCCTGGCCAACATGGTGAAACCCTGTCTCTACTAAAAATACAAAAATTAGCTGGGCATGATGGCGGGTGCCTGTAATCCCAGCTACTCAGGAGGCTGAGGCAGGAGAATTTCTTGAACCCGGGAGGTGGAGGTTGCAGTGAGGTAAGATCACGCCATTGCACTCCAGCCCAGGCGACAAGAGTGAAACTCTGTTTAAAAAAAAGTTATATTCCTGGGGCATATAACCAGTAATAGGGCAGCTGGGTCAAATGGTAGCTGTGTTTTAAGTTTTAAAATAAATCTCCAACATGCTTTCCGCAGAGGCTGAACTAATTTACATTCTCATGAAGAGTATACATGTGCTCCCTTTTCTCGGCAGCCTCGCCAGGGTTTCTCATTGTTTTAGTTTTTAATAATAGCCATTCTCACTGGTGTAAGATGGTAACTCATTGTGGTTTTGATTTGCATTTCTCTAATGAAAGGTGATGATGGTCTTACTTCATATGTTTATTGACTGCTTGTATGTATTCTTATCAGAGGTGTCTCTTTATGTCCTTTGTTCATTTTTAACAAAGTTATTTGTTTTTTGCTTGTTGATTTGTTTCAAAAGAAACAAAAAATAGAGTAATCAGACAACCTACATAATGGTAGAAAATATTTGAAAGCTGTACATCTGACAAGGGTCTAATATCCAAAATCTATAAGAAAGTAGTTTGTCTTGGCTAACAAGAAAATTCAAGCTGGGAACTGCTCAGGGCCAACCTGTCTCCCATTCTATTCAAAGTCATCCCTCTTCTCACTGAGATAAATGCATATCCGATTGCCTCCTTTGGAAAGGCTAATCAGAAACTCAAAAGAGTGCAACCATTTTTTCTCACCTACCTGTGACCTGGAAACCCCTTCCCCACTTTGAGTTGTCTCACCTTTCTGGACTGAACCAATGTTCATTTTATGTGTATTGATGTATTAAGTCTCCATAAAATGTATAAAACCAAGTTGTGCTCTGACCACCTGGGGCACATGTCATCAGTACCTCTTGAGGCTATGTCATGGGCACACATCCTCAACTTTGGCAAAATAAACATTCGTTTTCTTTTTTTTTTTTTTTTTTGAGATGGAGTCTCGCTCTGTCACCCAGGCTGGAGTACAGTGGCATGATCTCAGCTTACTGCAACCTCCACCTCCGAGGCTTCAAGTGATTTTGCTGCCTCAGCCTCCCCAGTAGCTGGGACTGCAGGTATGTGCAACCATGCCCAGCTAATTTTTTGTATTTTTAGTAGAGACGGGGTTTCACCATGTTAGCCAGGATGGTCTCGATCTCCCGACCTCGTGATCTGCCCACCCTGGCCTCCCAAAGTGCTGGGATTACAGGCATGAGCCACCGTGCCCAGCTCAATGGCAAAATAAACTTTCTAAGTTAACTCAAACCTGCCTCAAATTTTGGGGGTTCACAGGTCATTTTACAGGAACCCATATTTCTTGGAGGTTTTAGTCATTTTTCTTAATTTTTGTTAGACTGAGTTGATTCAAAGAGCTGACCATCAAACTCTGAGATTCTTTTCTCAGCATGTTCTATTCTTTTAGTAATACTTTTGATGTATTATGAATTGTTTTTTAGTAAATATTTTTAGCTCCAGAAATTCAGTTTGGTTTTGTCTTAAAATGGTTGTTTTATCTTTCATCTCTTGAGTCATTTTACTGGATTTTTTAGATTCATTAGATTGGGTTTTTCACTCGTGTCTGTGTGAAGAGACCACCAAACAGGCTTTGTGTGAGCAACAAGGCTGTTTATTTCACCTGGGTGCAGGCGGGCTGAGTCCGAAAAGAGAGTCAGGGAAGGGAGATAGGGGTGGGGCCGTTTTATAAGATTTGGGTAGGTAAAGGAAAATTACAGTCAAAGGGGGGTTGTTCTCTGGCGGGCAGGGGTGGGGGTCACAAGGTGCTCAGTGGGGGAGCTTTTGAGCCAGGATGAGCCAGGAGAAGGAATTTCACAAGGTAATGTCATCAGTTAAGGCACGGACTGGCAATTTTCACTTCTTTTGTGGTGGAATGTCATCAGTTAAGGCAGGAATAGGCCATTTAAATTTCACTTCTTTTGTGATTCTTCAGTTACTTCAGGCCATCTGGATGTATACGTGCAGGTCACAGGGGATATGATGACTTAGCTTGGGCTCAGAGGCCCGACAGGGTTTCTATTTACTTCTGAATCCCTATGTGTTTTTTTGACATCTGGACTCTAAATTCTATTTCTGACATCTCAGTCATTTCTGATTGGTTAAGAACCACTGCTGGGAAAATCGTGGACTGATTTGTGGGTAATAAGACACCTTGGACTTCTAATTTCCAGAGTTCTTACACTGATTCTTTCTCATCTGGGATGGTTGGTATTTTTTTAACTGTAGTGTGAGTTGAGTATAGTCAGTTGGCTTCATTTCTGGATGCATTCAGAGGGCTAGGGATCTGTACAGAAACTTTATATGTGGGTAAGTTCTTGCACTTGGTTTTACAGGTCTATATATTAGCAGGATAAATTTTGGGTGTTGTAGTTTGGGCTGCAATCCAGAATATGGTGCTCAAGAGTAATGACTGGTAGTTAGGTTAATACCCAGCCATGCAGCTCTTTTGTACTTCCTTGCATTTGCAGTTATGCTCTCTGATGGGGAGAAGAGAGAGATTACCCCATCACAAGTTTCACACCTGGACCTTGATGGGGGCCTCTCAGATCATTGGCACTGTAGCCACGTTTCTTCTGTTAGGTTCAGGGGCTGCAGCAGAAAGATATGCTACACTCTCTGGACTGGCTCTTTGAAGGGATGCATGCCCTATTCCCCCCCTAGATCAGGAGCCTGCACATCTTTTCCAACTCATTGCTCTGAGGGTGAGTGATCTCAGTGCTCTGAGTGATCTTGGGGGCCCCAAGATATTTTCTTTTCACACTATAATCTTTTCTTTTTGAGACAGAGTCTCGCTGTGTCGCCCAGGCTGGAGTGCAGTGGCGCGATCTTGGCTTACTGCAAGCTCCGCCTCCCGGGTTCACACCATTCTCCTGCCTCAGCCTCCCAAGTAGCTGGGACTCAGGCGCCAGCCACCACGCCCGGCTAATTTTTTGTATTTGTTTTAGTAGAGACGGGGTTTCACCGTGTTGGCCAGGATGGTCTCGATCTCCTGACCTCGTGATCCGCCCGCCTCCGCCTCCCAAAGTGCTGGGATTACAGGCGTGAGCCACTGCGCCTGGCCTCACGCTAAAATCTCTTATAATAACTATTATGTAGTCTTCTAATTGGTTTCTTTGCTTCAATCACTGTCTCCTCCTAGTCTTTCTCCAATGTAGCAGTCAGAATAATTATTAAGCAATATTAATCTCTATTTAAATGTCTAATTATCAATCTTTCCAAGATACAATATAGGAAAAGATTTTCTGTCATTTCTCAATTCTCTTAATCCTCTTTACAATTTTTTTCAAATCACATATCAAACCTGACATATATTTTCTTATATTTTTGTCTATCTTGCTAAAACGTAAGCTCTATGAGAGCAGGAACTTTGTTAGTTCAGTTCACTGCTATACTTCTGAATCTATCATAATTTCTGAGGCATAATACATTTATTACCTCAACATCTTATTATGAAAATTTCCAAAGATACAGTAAAGTTGAATAAATTTAACAATGAGCACTCATATATATTACTACCACTAATATTTTACTTTTAAAGTTGATTTGGGGGGTTAATTTTGTGGTCTAAAAAACGTATTCTTACATGTCGTAAGCAAAAAGGGCAAGTATTATTATGTCCAAGTTACAAATAATGAAACTAAGTTTCAAATAAGGAAATCAGCCACTTTCTAGTTTAGTACTTTACAAAGCTCCACACATTTATAGCATGTATCGTGACCTTGGTGACACACAGTAGTCACCTGGAAAGCTTTATAAACATTGGTGACTGGGTTTTACTCCCAGAGATCTTGACATAATGAATCTGGGCTTGAAAAGTTTCGAAACCTCCCTAAGTAATTCCAAAGTGCATTTAAGGTTGAGAACCCCTGTGTTAGTATTTTTTTAGTGGTTAGTAAATTAATGCTGAATAAACCATTTTTTCTATGACAGCTTGAGTTCTAATTGCGATGCCATACAATTCACCCATTTGAATTGTACAGTCAAGGATTATTAGTATATTTTCAGAAACGTGCAGTCAGCACTATAATTTTCAGTCACTTCACATCTTATTTCCATTCAATCTCCTACCCACCAGCCCCTGGTAACCACTAGTCAGATTTCCTCCTCTATAGGTTTTTTGTTGTTGTTGTTGTTGTTGTTTTTGCTAGACATCTCATATAAATAAATCGTATAATATGTGGTCTGTTGTAACTGGCTTCTTTCACTTGGTATGTTTTCAAAGTTCAGCCGTGGTTTGGCATGTATCAGTAGATTGTTCCTTTTTATGGCTAAATGATACTTTATTCTATGAATATGCCACATTTTGCTTATTCATTCATCAGTTGATGGACATTTAAGAAGTTTTCACTTTTTGGCTGTTATGTATAATGCTGCTAAAAACATTTATATATAAATTTTCATGTAAACATATGCTTTCAATTTTTTTTAATGTATACCTAGGAGTACAATTGATGGACCATATGGTAACCCTATGATTAACCTTTTAAGGAAGTTTTTTTCTAAAGCAGCTGTGCCATTTTACATTCTCCTTAGAATGCTATAAAGGTTCCCATTTTGCCACATCCTCACTTATGCTTATAATTATATGTATTTTTTTATTATAACCATCCTGGGTGGGTGTGAAGTGGCAGCTCAATGTTAGTTGTTCAACACATATTTGTTGGATGAATGTATCTAGAAAGATTAGAAGTACTGGACTGTTTCCTTAAAAGATTATTTACCTTTGATTAAATACCAGAACAGGTAGCTCTTGATTTTCTGATCCTCTCTGGTTTTTCTGACCCATGATGACTTCCATATTTTTCTTGCCTTTCTCATATTTGAGTTCCAGTGAGGCAACTTCTTTCCACACCATTTGGAAAGCTGATGCAAGAGTCACTTATATGGATTCCTCAAGCTCTCACTTCTGCTACTTATGAAAACCTAAACCTAAGCTTCTTGCATTCACTTTTTACTACCTCAGGTTGTATCAGGGAACAGAGAGACTCAATGTGCCTGTAGAAAGGAGGTGAGAATCATGTCTTTATTTGAGCAAACAGTAATGAGACCTGGATGCCATGCTGGCTATTGCAATCCAATCTTTAACCATATAAGTACATACGGACGAAACACTTATCTTATAAAGGACAGGCCGGGCACGGTGGCTCATGCCTGTAATCCCAGCACTTTGGGAGGCTGAGGTGGGTGGATCACAAGGTCAGGAGTTCAAGACCATCCTAGCCAATATGGTGAAACACCATCTCTACTAAAAAGACAAAAATTAGCTGGGCGTGGTGGTGCGCACCTGTAGTCCCAGGTACTCAGGAGGCTGAAGCAGGAGAATCTCTTGAACCCAGGAGGCGGAAGTTGCGGTGAGCTGAGATCATGCCACTGCACTCCAACCTGGGTGACAGAGCAAGATGCCGTCTCAAAAAAAAAAAAAAAAGAAAAAAAAGAAAGAAAGAAAGGACAAAGCTTTTCGTAAGAGATATTGAAAAATGAGAGTGCCTTGTGCAATGCATTCACACTTAACATGCTCATCTAAACACATATCAGACTTTGATGTTTTCTACTTTTGTTTAAACTTTTATTTTCAATGCAGGTTTGTTATACAAATAAATTGTGTACCATAGGGATTTCATGTACATAGCACTTCATTTCCCAGGTAATAGGCACAGTAGCTGCATTAGTCCATTTTCACACTGCTATAAATGACTTCCCTGAGAATGGGCAGTTTATTAAGAAAAGAGGTTTAATTGACTCACAGTTCTGTATGGCTGAGAAAGCTTCCAAAAATTTACAATCACAGCAGAATGTGAAGGGGAAACAAGCACCTTCTTCACAAGGCAGCAGGAGACAGAGCAAAGGGGGAAGAGCCCTTTATAAAACCATCAGATCTCTTGAGAACTCACTATCATGAGAACAGTATGATGAAAACTGCTCCCATAATCTAATCACCTCCCACCAGCTCTCTCCCTCAATACCTGGGGATTGGAATTCCAGTTGAGATTTGGGTGGGGACACAAAGCCAAACCATATTCCACCCCTGGTCCTTCCTAAATCTCATGCTCCTTTCACATTTCAAAATCAATCATGTCTTCCTATCAGTCTCCCCAAAGTCTTAACTCATTCCAGCATTATCCCAAAAGTCCAAGGCCAAAGTCTCATCTGAGACAAGGCAAGTCCCTTCCGCCTATAAACTGTAAAATCAAAAGCAAGTTTGTTACTTCCAAGATACAATGTGGGTACAGGCATTGGATAAATATTCCCATTTTAATTGAAAGAAATTGGCCAAAACAAAGGGGCTAAAGGCCCCATGCAATTCCAATCCAAAATCCAGTGGGGCAGTCATTGAATCCTTTTCTTCCTTCAACTTTTATTTTATGTTCCAGGATACATGTGCAAGATGTGCAGGTTTGTTACATAGGTAAACATGTGCCATGGTAGTTTGCTTCACAGATCCACCTATCACCTTAGTAATAAGCCCAGCATGCATTATCTATTCTTCCTGATGATCTTCCTTCCCCTACCCTCACTCCCAATAGGCCCCAGTGTGTGTTGTTCCCCCCAATATATCCATGTGTTCTTATCATTCAGCTCCCACTTGTAAGTGAGAATATGCAGTGTTTGGTTTTTTGTTCCTGCATTAGTTTGCAGTCAATCCATGTCCCTGCAAAGGACATAATCATGTTTCTTATTATGGCCGTATAGTATTTCATGGTGTATATGTACCACATTTTTTAAATCCAGTCTATCATTGATGGGCATTAAGGTTGATTCCATGTCTTTGCTATTGTGAATAGTGCTGCAATTGACATACACGTGCATGTATCTTTATAATAGAATGATTTATATTCCTTTGGGTATATGCCCAGTAATGGGATTCCTGGGTCAAATGGTACTTCTGCCTTTAGGTTTTTGAGGAATTGCCATACTGTCTTCTACAATGGTTGAACTAATTTACACTCTCACCAACAGTGTAAAAATGTTCTTTTTATTCTGCAACTTTGCCAGCATCTGTAGTTTCTTGACATTTTAATCATTGCCATTCTGACTGGTATGAAATGGTATCTCACTGTGGTTTTGATTTGCATTTCTCTAATGATCAGTAATGTTGAGCTTTTTTTCATATATTTATTGGCCACACAAATGTCTTTTTTTGAGAAGTGACTGTTCATGTCTGTTCATGTCCTTTGCCCCCTTTTTAATAGGGTTACTTGTTTTTTCTTCTAAATTTGTTTCAGTTTCTTCTAGACGCTGACTATTAAACCTTTGTCAGATGGATCTATTGAAACAGAATTCTCTCATTCTGTAGGTTGTTTGTTCACTCTGATGATAATTTCTTTTTTTGGACAGAACCTCTTTAGTTTAACTATATCCTGTTTGTCAATTTTTGCTTTTGTCACAATTGCTTTTGGCATTTACATAATGAAATCTTTGCCAGTGCCTATATCCTGAATAGTATTGCCTAGATTTTCTTCTAGACTTTTACAGTTTTGGGTTTTACATTTAAGTCTATAATCCATCTTTCATTGATTTTTGTATATGCAGTAAGGAAGGGGTGCAGTTTCAGTTTTCTGCATAGGGCTAGTCAGTTTTTCCAGAACCATTTATTAAATAGGGAATCCTTTCCCAATCCCTTGTTTTTGTTAGGCTTATCAAAGATCAGATGATTGTAGGTATATGATCTTATTTCTGAGTTCTGTATTCTGTTCCATTTCCATGTGTCTCTTTTTGTACCAGTACCATGACGCTCTGGTTACTGTAACCTTGTAGTATTGTTTGAAGTTGGATAGCATGATGCCTCCAGATTTATACACAAATCAATAAATGTAAATTAATTACATAAACAGAACTAAAGGCAAAAACCACATGATTATCTCAATAGATGCAGAAAAAGCCTTTGATAAAATTTAACATCCCTTTATGTTAAAATCTCTCAATAAACTAGGTATTGAAGGAACATATCTCAAAATAAAAAAAGCAATATATGACAAGCCCACAGCCAGTATCATACTGAATGGAAAACTCTGGAAGCATGACCCTGGAAAACTGGCCCAGGACAAGGATGCCCTCTCTCACCACTCCTATTCAACATAGTATTGGAAGTTCTGGCCAGGGCAACCAGGCAAGAGAAAGAAATAAAGGGTATTCAAATAGGAATAGAGGAAGTCAAATTATTTTTGTTTGTAAATAACATGATCCTATATCTAGAAAACCCCATCATCTCAGGCTAAAATCTTCTTAAGCTGATAAGCAACTTCAGCAAAGTCTCAGGATTCAAAATCTATGC
Organism: Homo sapiens; assembly: GCF_000001405.40. Lineage (NCBI taxonomy): Eukaryota > Metazoa > Chordata > Mammalia > Primates > Hominidae > Homo > Homo sapiens. The sequence continues at coordinate 90,940,852 of NC_000023.11, forward strand.
AAAAATTGCTAACATTTCTATACACCAACAACAGGCAAGTGGAGAGACAAATCATAAATGAACTCTCAGTCACAATTGCTACAAAGAGAATAAAATGTCTAAGAACACAGCTAACAAGGGAAGTGTAGGACCTTTTCAAGGAGAACTGCAAACCACTGCTCAAGGAATTCGGAGAGAGCACAAATAAATGGGAAAAACATTCCATGCTATGGATAGAAAGAATCAATATCATGAAAACGGCCATACTGCCCAAAGTAATTTATAGATTTAAGGCTATTTCCATTAAGCTATGATTAACATTCTCCACAGAATTTGAAGAAATCATTTTAAAAGTCATATGGAACCAAAAAAAATCCCTAATAGCCATGGCATTCATTAAATATTAAAGCCCGAAAATAATATCATTTGACTCCTTGTCTCACATCAAGCACATGCTGATGCGAAGACTGGGTTCCCAAGACCTGGGCAGCTCCACCCCTGTGGCTTTGCAGGGTTCAGCCCCTGTGGCTGTTCTCATGAGCTGACATTGAGTGCCTGCGGCTTTTCCAGGTGCATGGTGCAAGCTGTTGGTAGATCTACCATTCTGGATTCTGAAGGATAGTGCCCCTCTTCTCACAACTCCACTAGGTAGTGCCCCAGATGGGACTCTGTGTGGGACCTCTGACCTCACATTTCCTTTCTGCACTGCCCTAACAGATGTTCTCCATGAGGCCTCCACCCCTGGATCAGACCTCTGCCTAGACATCCAGGCGTTTTCATACATCCTCTGAAATTTAGGTGGAAAATGGGACTTTTGAGTTGATGCTGGAATTAGTTAAGACATTTTGGGATTATTGGAAATATATTGCATTTAGCTATGTGAGAAGAACATAAGATTTGGGGGGCTAGGAGTAGAGGAATATAGTTTGGATATTTTCCCCTCCAAATCTCATATCAAAATATGATCTCCAAGGTTGGAGTTGGGCTCTCATGGTAGGTGTTTGGGTCATAAGAGGATTCTTCATGAATGGCTTGATGCCCTCTCTACAGTAAGTGAGTTCATATTAGATGTGGTTGTTAAAGAGACTGGGATCACCGTATTCTTTCTCCCTTTTATGCCATGTGGCATGCCTGCTCCCCTTTTACCTTCCACCATGAGTGTAAGCATCCTAAGGCTCTCACCAGAAGCAGATGTGATCACTATGCTTCTTCTATAGCCTGTAGAACTGTGAGCCAAATAAACTTCTTTTCTTTATAAATTAGCTAGCCTCAGGTATTTCTTTAGAGCAATGCACAATGGACTAACACAGAAGAGAATGCTGCATCTGGTTTCTCTTGGACATGGCCTTATGCCCCTTTCCTCTTTACTCATTCTGATCTGTATCCTTTTTCTGTAACAAACGATAACAATAAGAATAACAGCTTCTAATGCAGTGATTCAGAATGTAAAAGTGGACTTGGGAACGCCCAACACAAATATTTGAAAATTATAAATATTTGTGGTTAAAACAGATTGACTGAACCAGGTTTTTCACTATGGTAGAAGAAAAATACAAATATAAAATGTGTTAAATCAAGAATGAACCCTGGGGGATGGACTGGTATTAGAGGTATTAGTATAAAATATTTCTATCTGTGTATCTGTGTGTCTGTCTATTTATCTATCTATGTATCTATCTATCCATCTGAACATATTCATGAAAGTGTATGTGTACATGTACATATGTGTACATGTACATATGTGTATTAACAGGCATATATTTTCTATCCCTAGCACTGAGACAACCTAGAAGCAAAGTCATTCCAACAGCAATGGGCACAACTAACACCTAAATTTTGATTTCTAGTACTATTCTATAAGGAACGAGGGTTCCCTGACAGAAGCATCTGATTTCTGGCCTGCTGCAGTATGGGTCCAAAATAAACTTAGAACATCTTGATAGGTTGGGAATGTGGTACAATGAGAGAGGTTCTACCTTGAAAAATGTGTCACTGTCAAATCTGGGCAATTTAATACCAAAGTAAGTATAGTAATAAATTATAAACCAGTGGATAAATTATAAAAACCTATGAGTTCATCCTATTAATAAATAGATACATAAATAGAATATCAAGGAATAACCTATAAATAGAATTAGAAAATTATAATTTTGGAACTATTACAAAAGAGGGTTCATGCAAAATAGTTGCTAATTCTCAGAGAATATTTTGGGTTTTTAAAAATTTTTTTACTTCAATAGCTTCTGGGGTACAAATGCTTTTGGCTACGAAGATAGATTATATTGTTGTAAATTCTGAGGTTTTAATGCAACTCTCACCTAAATAGTGTTTATTATACCCAATATGTAGTCTTTTATCCCTCAAATCTCTTCCTCTCTCCCACGTCTGAGTCTCCAAAGCTCATTATATCACTGTGTTTGCCTTTGCATTCTCATAGCTTAGCTCACACTTATAAGGGAGAACATATAGTACTTGGCCTACCAAATTTCACTCAGAATAGTGGCCTCCAGCTCCATCAAAGCTGCTGCAAAAGACAATATTTTTCTTTTTATGGCTGAGTAGTATTCCATAGTGTAAATATACCCCATTTTTTTAATCCACTAATTGGTTGATGGACACTTAGATTGGTTTTATATCTTTGCAATTGTAAATTGTGCTGCAATAAACATTCTTGTGCATGCGTCTTTTTCATATAATGACTTATTTTCCTTTGGGTAGATACCAAGTAGTAAGAATCCTGGATTGAATGGTAGATCTACTTTTAGTTCTTTAAAGAATCTTTACACTGTTTTCGATAGTTTGTACTAATGTACATTCCCACCAGCAGTTTAGAAGAATACCCCTTTCACCACATCTATGCCAACATCTTTTTTTCTTTCGACTTTTTAATAATGATCATTCTTACAGGAATATGGTGGTATTTTATTGTGGTTTTAATTTGCATTTCCCTGATAATTAATGATGCTGAGCATTTTTTATATGTTTGTTTTCCACTTGGTTATCTTTTGAGAAATGTTTATTCATGTTGTGAAAGGAAAATAAATCTTGGGACCCCAAATTACTACACTAAAGGGAAAAGTCAAGCTGGTAGCTGCTTAAAGAAAACCTGATTCCCATTCTATTCAAAGTCATCCCTCTGCTCACTGAGATAAATGCATTATCTGATTGCCTTCTTTGGAAAGGCTAAACAAAAACTCAAAAAAAAAAAAATGCAACCACTTGTTTCTCACCTACTAATGACCTGGAAATCTCCTTCATGCTTTGAGTTGTCTCTCCTGAACCAACATACAACTTACACATATTGATTGATGTCTCATCAAAAATGTATAAAACCCATCCGTGCCCTGATCACCTTGGGCAATTCTCATCACAACCTCCTGAGGCTGCATCATGGGCATGCATCCTTAATTTTGGCAAAATAAACTTTCTAAGTTGACTGAGACCTGTCTCACATATTTTCAGTTTGTATTTGGTGACCAACGGAAGGAACTCTGAGTGGAGGTGGTCCTGACCTTTGACAAATCTCTTATGGGGGCTTGGTACCAGCTTGAGCTATCTTTATGGCTCAAACCTATAAGACAATTTGCTGAGGCTTGGAAGCTACCCTCCCTCCAGAGGACCTCTAGTCTCCCAAAATTTGCTTGAAATCGACAGTTTATTTTGCTGTATAACTCCTTCTCTGGAGTTTTACTTGCTTCCAACAATGAAGGCAAGATTTCCTGCTTCCATGAGGATGCAAAGCAGATAACTCTTTTCTGGAGTTTGAGCTCACTTCTAAAAGGGAAGGCAAGTTGGAGGTTATTTTTTCTGCTTCTAGGATGGTAGAGAGCAGTCCTCAGCCTGAGACGCATCCCCATGTCAGTAGCTTAGTTGGGGTTTGGTCTCAGCTAAAGTTAAGATTAACAACCAGCTGGTCTTAATTTCTCATTACCATTACAGTGCTCAATCATTTCTTTGTTTTGCTTAACTGCTTTTTTTGTTGTTGTTGCTGTTACCTGTTTGTTTCTGTTTTGGTTGTTGTTTTCAGTCTTTTTCCCATTGGGTTTTACCAGCTCTATCTGACTTCATCAAATCTGAAGGAAAGTTCCAAATTATTGGGAAGAAGACATCTGAAGTGGCTAAATTTCTGCCAAAAAAAAAAAAAAAAAAAAGTGGGGTGTGGAGGAAAACGGCCAGCAAAAGAAATAAGGGAAGATTTACATTATGACTACTTAAGGGGCTTTATTTACATAACAAGGCCACCTTTTTGCTAGCCAAGCCAAACTGAAAGAGCAATGGCTGTTGCCCCATGCTGCAGTTCCATAGCTAAGGTTCTGGTTGCCCTTTTTTTTTTTTTTTTTGTCCACCAGGACAGCCTGTCTTGGTTCCTAAATCAAGCCCTTTCTAGTTTGATACTCGTTACTCTTAAAATATTAGCAATTTGTTCTAGCTAAAATATAGCAAATAGATTTAAAAAGATTTTTTAAAGGAACGCAATGGTTAAAAGCCAGCTTAAAGTTAACATCCAAGATGTGTGTGTGTATGGGTGCATATGTGTGTTTGTATTAAAAGGTCTTCATTTTTTTTCTTTTTCTCTCCTTGGACCTTGTCTTTTTTTTTTTTTTGGAACAAAAGTTTTTTTCTTCTCAGCTGACTGAATTATGTTTCTCCATTTACTTCTGCTGTCTCTCCTTTCTCTTGCCACCCTCTGCTGCATGAGAGACCTAAAATAGTTTATAATAGCCTGAAATTTCTTAAAGAAAAAAAAAGTGGGGGGAGATTGTGCCACACTCCCTTCTGGGGCGTAACCTCTGTTTTTCTTTATGGTACTCCAAGGGTGTAAACAGACAAGTTTGGCTCAGATATTAAACTGCTTGTGTTAGCTGATTTTTGACTAAAATAGTTATTACAACAGAAGCTATTCTTGAGTTTTTAAAGAAGAGTGTAGTTTAGACACTTAAAAGTTTTTCTTTAAAATAATTTTTTTCAGTGCACTGTAAAAGCAACATGTGGTCTAGCCTCATAATAATTCTCCCTTTTTGGAGCCCCAGGATTCAATGTGGGCTCTGCCTAGAGCTTAGGGATCCAATGAAAAGATAGATAGTCCCTATCTAAAAACAAATGGGTCTCCTTATACAATCCTATATTTCTATAATTTCATGTTTGATTTGGCATCTATCTTTAATCTTTCTCTAGCACCACAAGACTCTCTCTGTACTTTGAGATGTAAATTTTGCTATCTGATTTTTCACCAAAGAGTTCCTTTAATATGCACATTTAGGGCTATCTAGCTGACAATTGCCTAGGGCAATAAAATAGGTTATCAAAAAATTGGAAATCTAAAATAGGAGAAAAAATAGAGGTCTAAATTTATAAGATCTACTTCTATCTACATGTCTAATACGTCTGTGCATTTATGTGTCATGTATATGATGTTTCATACTAAAAATGTATAAAGAAGTTCTAATTAATTTGCTTACAAAAGCTTAAATCAAATACTTTATCAGAAAAATAGAGGCTTTGAGCCTAATGCTTTTTAAAGTTCACATGACTTAAGTAAATCTTTATTAAATAAGCTGGTTTTTAGAATTTTTAATGAAATAGAATTAGAAATGGCTTCAGAATTGTCAATGCACATTATTTATCTCTGCTATATATCAAAATTTGTCATGAGGTTTATAAAGCTATAAATGCAGCTCAAAAGAAAATTATACTTGTTTATGTAAAATTTAATAAATAAGATAGTTAATACTGTTTGGTTAATGAAAATAGCTAAATCCGGAGTTAATGGCAAAAAAAAATTATCTAAACTTAAATTTATTACTGAGGAAAACCTGAAATTCACAGGTTATAAACATAGACAACAAGGAAATAACTTTAAATAATTATCCCAGTTTTCATAAGTAATCTGGGTAAACTATTTTTAAAAACTAATTAATTAGGTAAATGTAATGGAATAAATGCTTTTAGATAATCTTGTCTTATAATTTAAAATCTAAAGTTATATTAAGATAAATAATAGATATTCATTCAATGTCTAGGCCATTTGTATTTTTATGTAACAGAACACAGTTGGAGAAACTGGTTATTTTACCAAGGTTTTGACTGGAATAGAGTGCTTTCTTCTAAGGAATCAAACTTGACTTATAGAGCCAATAAAAGCCCCTTGAGAAATCTGGCCTTATACCTTGTCTACACAGTCCCTGTACAGGGCTCCTTACCTGTACTAAGTAAAGAATGTCACTTTCTGACAGGCCTGGGAGCTCCAGATTATCTTGGGATCTCAAGAACAGAGGAATTTACCCGACTCATAGGTATTTGATGTTACAAAGCCATGGCTTGGCTCGACTTTAAAAAAGTTTTATCTGAGATTTCTTCTATGGAACGAAGTTTCATCAAAGCCAATTTTTAAAAAGCCCATTTAAAAAATAATTGTTCTTCCTGCACTTTTCTATAATCAGGCCAAGTATAATAAAGCAAGTAAAATAAAATTGAAAAATGGGAAACTGAAGAGAGAAAAATTATGTTTCAAAAACTATAGCAAACTTGTTAGATTCTAGTCTTGCCTAATGTTTTTACAT